>NC_000016.10:76077651-76380682 GCF_000001405.40 Homo sapiens
TTTATTCTTTTGTCAAAGACCAGTTAACTGTATTTATTTGGGCCTATTTCTGGGCTGTCTATTCTGCTCCATTGATCTGTTTGTGTTTTCTTTTACCAATGTCCCACTGTCTTGATTACAGTACCTTTATAGTAAGTCTTGAAGTCAGGTAGTGTCAGTCCTCTAATTTTGTTCTTCTTAAATACTGTGTTGGCTATACTGGGTCTTTTGCCTTTCCATATAAACTTTAGATTCAGTTTGCTGGTACCCACACACACAAATGCTGGAATTATGATTGGGCTAAGTGTGTCATTTTAAAGCTGTCTGCATTGAGAGCTAAATAAGGTTCAAGTATTGCAAATTGTTTAAATATCTTTAAGCCTCTTTTAATCTATAAAATCTGTCTCCATGTTTCTTTTCTGTGCAATTTGCTTATGGAAAGAGACTGTCATTTATCCTGTAGAATTTTTCATAGTCTTGATTTTGAGTAGTGCCTTTTTCTGGTGATATTTAATATGTTTCCATGTTGTCTGCATTTCTTATAAATTGGAAATTAAATCTACAGGTGTGATCTGATTTCAGTTAGTAAATTTGGGGCATTACTTCATAGATGGCTGCCTAAGTCTGTTTTGTGTTGCTATAAAAGAATACCTGAGACTGGGTCATTTACAAACAAAAGAGGTTTATTTAGTTCCTGGTTTTGCAGGCTGAGAAGTTTAAGGGCATGTCCCTGGCTCCTGGTGAGGGTTTTTGTGCTACATTACAACATGGCAGAGAATGTCAAGGTGAAAGCAGACACACACAAAGAGGGGAAAACCTGAGAGGCATCCTGGCTTTATAACAACCCACTCTTTCAGGAACTAATCCATTCTCCTGAGAATTCACTCACTCCTGCAATAACACCACCACATCATGTAAGAGGGATCTGTGCTTACAACCCAAACACCTCCCACTAGGCCCTACTTCACAACACTGCCACATTGGGGATCAAATTTCAACATGAGTTTTGGTGGAGACAAACAAGCCATATCCAAATCATAGCAATGGCCTTGTGTACTTCTATTAGAAGGTACTCAGTATCCATCTTTCTCTTGGATGTTAGCAGCTATATACAAAACAGTGATATTCTGATTCTGTTATTCCTTCTTCAATTATTAACTAGAATATTTCTTTAAAAAGAGATCCTCTCTTGTCAGCTACAGTAACCAAAACAGCATGGTACTGGTACCAAAACAGAGATATAGACCAATGGAACAGAACAGAGGCCTCAGAAATAACACTACACATCTACCTCCATCTGATCTTTGACAAACCTGACAAAAACAAGCAATGGGGAAAGAATTCCTTGTTTAATAAGTGGTGTTGGGAAAACCGGCTAGCCATATGCAGAAAACTGAAACTGGACCCCTTCCTTACACCTTATACAAAAATTAACTCAAGATGGATTAAAGACTTAAACGTAAGACCTAAAACCGTAAAAACCCTAGAAGAAAACCTAGGCAATACCATTCACGACATAGGCACGGGCAAAGACTTCATGACACCAAAAGCAATGGCAACAAAAACCAAAATTGACAAATGGGATCTAATTAAACTAAAGAGCTTCTGCACAGCAAAAGAAACTACCATCAGAGTGAACAGACAACCTACAGAATGGGAGAAAATTTTTGCAATCTACCCATCTGACAAAGGGCTAATATCCAGAATCTACAAAGAACTTAAACAAATTTACAAGAAAAAAACCAAACAACCCCATCAAAAAGTGGGTGAAGGATATGAACAGACAGTTCTCAAAAGAAGACATTTATGCAGCCAACAAACATATGTAAAAAAGCTCTTGTCAACTATTTGGTTGCTCAAACATGTGTCTTATATAGAAAAACTTGATTTTTATTTTTACTATCATAAGAAAGAGTTGGTTCCTTGGCATCCTTCAAAGGGCCAGTTTCTTAAGAGATAGTTGATCCATCACTAATCATGGAAATATCTTCGACTTCATTAGTGGGTATTATAAATAACTTTTGGCAACAAATTTTAGAATTCAAGTGAAGTGAATGTTCTAAAATTTTCCTAGAAAAATAAAATTTATAAAGCTAAAACAAGAACAAAAAGGAAATACAAACGTCCTGTAATTGTTAGAGAAATTAAAACTCTAAGTAAAATCTTTGACCAAAAAAAAAAAAAAAGAAATCTTCATTCTGATGGATGCAGTGGCTCACGCCTGTAATCTCAACACTTTGGGAAGCCAAGGTGGCGGGGATTGTTTGAGCCCAGGAGTTTGAGACCAGCCCTGGCAACATAGCAATATCCTTTCTCTACAAAAAATAAAATAATTATTCAGGTGTGGTGGTGTGCACCTGTAGTCCCAGCTGCTTGGGAGGCCGAGGTGGGAAGATCATTTGAGCCCAGTAAGCTGAGGCTGCAGTGAGCCTTGTTTGTACCACTGCACTCCAGCATGGGTGACACAACAAGACCCTGTCTCAAAAACAGCAAAACAAAACTTTATTCCCATATAGTTTTTCCAGTGAGCTTTTACAGGCATTTTAATGTAGAAATATTGCAATTCCTATGCCAATTATTCCATTAAAGAGAAAAAGAGAAAATACTCCTAATTAATTTATGAGTTTAGTATATCCTTGATACCCAAATCTGACAAGAACATTACAAGAAGGCAAATTACAGACCAATATATTCATGACAATAAATGTAAAATTCTAAATAAAATATTTGTAAATCAAATAAATCAAATCCATCAAATACATACATCAAATAAATCCTATGTGTGTGTGTGTGTGTGTGTGTGTGTGTGTGTGTATCACGATATTTAACATATCATGAAAAAGTGAGGTTCATTCTAGGAATGCAAAGTTGATTTAGCATTCTTAAATCAATAAATACAATTCAAACATTAACAGGATAAATTAGAAATGTCAAATTTTTACTTCAATGGATGAATAAAAATCATTTGATAGTTCCCTAGTCTTTTATGTTTAGAACATTTAGCATACTATCAATAGAAGGAAACTTCCTTAATAAGATAGAATCTACAAAATTCTAAATAACCATTAATGTTCAAACACTGAATGCTTTTATTCTGAGAAAGAGAATAAAACAAGAAGGTCTGTTCTCATTACTCATTACTTCTATTCAATGTGGTACTGGAGGGCTGAACTAATTCAATAATGCAGAAAATAAAGTGAACAGAATCAGGACAATGAGGAGAAAAACTGTCATCACTCATTGTAAATACGAATGCATCCATAGATATTATTTTAAAAATCTAAGCATAGAAAATTAGAATACACTTGTATTTAATATATTAAAAATTAATGTAAAATAATTTTATTTGATATTTTACGAGCCTGTAAAGAAGGTAAATAAACACTTTTCTTACAGTCTTTGTATTCTTTTAATACATTTGGAAAATCTGTGGGTTTTTGTTCTCAACTCAGAATCACACATCAATATGTTCTCCCTGTATATCTCAAATGATTTTGTAATATTTCATTTAACAGATGCAGAAACAAAATTTACCCATTCCTTCTAAGGATTACAATTAGGTTTTATGCAGACTAGAAATGACCTGCCATAAACAGAGCTCAAAATGATGAAAGTTAGTGCAACGTGGTGCACGGATAAAAGAACAAATAACATTTGTCTATCTTCAAGAACAGTGCTTGCTTCTGAAATTAAACCCAGCAGGTAGGAAGATTCTAAACAGACTTCAAATTGTTGAACATCTGCTCACCCTAGCACAATCTAAAACAGCAAATGCGAAACACTTTACAATCCTAAAATTCATACAATCTAGTTGAAATTATTACACTATTAAATTTTTTGGGAGCCATTGCAAACAGACCTGGAAACATTTATAGTTTCAAGTCATAAAATACTATTAAACTGACCCGAGCAGCTCTTTCATTAGGTTAAAAATAGTTGAATATCTTTTCTTAATTTAGATGTATATAATTTCTTAAAGTTTCTCGAAATGTAAAACTAATAAACCTTAGGGTCAGCTATATTTAAGGGAGATGGAAATTTAGATTTCAGCTTTAAGATGAAGCTGCTTAATTTTCTTCTTTCATATCCTTGTGGTGCTATAACATGCCCTGGCTTGCTGTAGATAAAAGACAACCCAGTTAACTTTTGGGGTGACAAAAATACCTAAGAAATTATCCTACTTAATAATACAATAGTTATTGAAAAGAAGCTTTGGTACTTCTAGTCCTGATATCACAACTTGCAGCCATTGCAGAATTTGAATGTTCCCCTCTGTAGAAGGACCTTATCCATTCTGATTTGCCCAGGTTGCAGTTTATACTTCTGGAACCTGCAAACTACCTGGCTTAGAGACTCTAAAGCACATTGGGTGAGCACCTGCCACAGAGGGCTCAAGAGTTTCATATTTCACAGCTGATTTCATTGCCTCCGTTCATCTTCTATGCAGAAAAAAATCATAAGTCACACTTCAGCTCTCAGGTCAGTCATCTTCCTAGTCACAAACGAAACATGTTACTCATTGTATGACACTCTGCGAGACAAAAGTGTAATGATGAATGGATCAGTGGTTGCCAGAGTTTGAGGGGAGGAGCGTGTGACTCCAAAGGAACATGACAGAGATTTTTTCTGGGGTGATAGACTTGTCTGTAACCTGATCATCACGGTGGTTACATGAATCTATGCATGTGTTAACTTTCATAGACATGTACGCAAAGAATTCCATTTTACTATATGAAAATTTAAATAAAATAAAATAAATCATCCCGAAGGAAAATTCAGAGTGTCATTATTTGTAGAGAGAGTTTCTATGGCTGACCCCAGCTCCACTCCCACACAATCCAGTTAAGTAAAAAGTTTTCTAAGCAGAGGCTTTTGATGCTCCTATGTGTCTTAAACAGGGTTATTTAAAAGCGTGTTAAGGCAATTATCCCCTGTTGATGCCTAAGGAGAAGAAAAAAGCTGCTTTTTAAAAAGCTTTTAAACAACACTTAAAGCAATAAACAGCCTTTGAAAAAGCTATTTTTTTTTCATAAAACACCTTCTCCCCCCACCACAAGTGGTGCTTTTGTTGGTGCCTACAGAGATTGCAAGGGAAAGCAATACTGCCAAAAATTCTTTGCTTTAATGTAAAATTGATTTGAGATTGTCCTCCCCCCTCCCCTTTTTCTAATCATAGTAATGTGAAGATCGCATGTCTGTATTGCTATTCAGCGAGTATCAGAACAAAGAAAAGTCTTGCCCTTGATTGCACAGCAATATAGTAAAGGCAATTTAAGGATCATGTGACTACTTTTTGTTGCATTGTGTCTTTTATATTTGTTTGTTACCTCAAATTTTATTCAAGAGTTGAGAGTTATCAGATGATAGAAAAGTGGAGATAAGTTGAAGCAGAAATGTGATTCTATAATTTGTCCAAGAGAAGAATATCATAAGCTTATTAAATTCCAAGAGTTATGTCTCTGAATAATTAATTCATAAAAATATAATGTGTATGAGAATTTTTATGACCAAACTGTATGCGTGACTATAAAAACTTGAAGTAGAATCAACAAACAGAGTATCATGGAACTTGTATTAGGAATTCCAACAAATTTTTTTTGCCCTCAACCTTTCATCTTCATGGAGTCAAAAGAAAGTGATTAACTTTCTTGCTCATACGACAGCTAAATTGTAAAGAGTGGTATCTTTGTTTTTTTTTTCTTTATTTTATTATTATTATACTTTGAGTTTTAGGGTACATGTGCACAATGTGCAGGTTAGTTACATATGTATACATGTGCCATGCTGGTGTGGTATCTTTGTTTGCATGTAAATTTTTTCTGGTGAAACGAATATCTGAGTTTCCTTTAGCTGAAATAATCGATTTCCTAGCTAGAAACACAGATGCTTTCTTCTGACTTTGCTTTGAACTTGCTCCTTCAAGATGATTTGTTTCAGAACAAGTACAATGAACTGTGCAGAATTACACATGGTCCAAGCTCTTCTTGGCTTGTACCTTTCATGGGTGGGGATGTTAAGGTGCCATAGTCCAAATTTTTCAGTGCTTTTATTTACACTAAGTCCCCTTATAATATGAGTCTGAGAATTGAAAATTTAATGCAATGCAACTTAGCCTTAAGTCCAAATGAGAGTATCATCACTCTTTAATTCTGCTTCTGAATTTCCCTGGGCAGTTCATTAAAATATTTCTGTTAACACATTGAATAACCTGCCTCGGAATATTGCTTTCACATTTATTTAAAGTCATAATTGGGTTACTGCTTCTTCCCAATGCTGAATGCTTTTTGAAAATAAAATAATGACATATGCTGTTCCAAGAAAACATTTTCATACATACATACATACATATATATATATATATATATATATATATATATATATATATATATATACCTGTGTGATAATTTGTGACACGAACACATAATTGACATCTGTGAGACAAAAGGACCTGCTAGGTAAAGTTGAAACAAAAGGGATTTGAAAAAATACCTGACTTTTATTATAAGCATTGTGATTTTGCCTGAATTAATTAATGTATTTGAGGCATAATTTTCTCTCAATAAAATTAGATAATAATAACTCTCTCTTAAATTTGCTGTGAAGGTGAAATAAAAAGTGTCTACATTTTTAAAAGGTCTAGGATAGTTCCTGGCACATAATAAGCACCCAGTAAAAGTGACTTCCTTCTCCTTGTCTTTTGCTATCTGAAACCATATTTCTCTAACTTAAAATCCATAGAACCTTTCGTTTTGTGAGCTCTGCAGGAACACAACATATAACTAATGAAATCCGTGAGTTTTCACTGGAGAAGAATTTACAGTCCAGGAGTTGGGGTCCTGGAGTCTTAGGTGTACTTTTTTACCCACTGACTTATACCCTCTTGCCAACTCTTAGATGCCCTCTCCCATCTTCATCCCCACCATGACAGCTCTGAAAGCTCTGTCTTGGTTCTCTAGGATTCTATCCAAGAAACATGATTTTAAAACGCCAACACCAAAGTTGAGAAAGACTCCCTTCTTAGATTTAGTAACCACAAGTATTTATATACAATAATATTCACCACCAATGTATTGAACAAAATCGATTTGGTTAAAGTGGAAAATCATAAAAATTATCACTCCTATGAATTTTATGTTTAATGTTCACTCAACATGTGAATGCGCATTATTTCTTGGTACGTCTTTTGATATGAAACCAATTTTTTAAAAGGGCAATGTTTAATTGCAGTTCTTAGGAAAAATATGCTTATAACTCTGTCATCTAGGATAACTAGCTTGGCATTTTTTTTAAGTGTACAGTTCAGTAGCGTTAGGTGTATTCACATTATTGTGAAAGAGATCTCCAGAAATTTTTCATCTGGTAAATCTCAAGCTATATTCCCATTAAACAACAGTCCCCCTTTCCACCACTTCCCTCCATGGCTTTTTGTGTGTGTGTGAGTGTGTGTGTAAAGTACGATTAAAAAACCTGTGTAGCCATCTAGGAGCAAGGTTTTGTTTGTTTGTTTCTTTTTTGAGATGGGGTCTTGCTCTGTCATTCAGGCTGGAGTTCAGTGGCATAATCATAGCTCACTGCAGCTTTGAACTCCCGTGCTCAAGTGATCTTCCTGCCTCAGGCTCCAAAGTACCTGGGACTACAGGTGTGCACTGTTGTGCCCTGCTACTATTTATTTTTCAGGTTTTGTGGAGATGGAGTTTCACTATGTTACCCAGGCTGGTCTCAAAGTCCTGACCTCAAGTGATCCTCCTGCCTCTGCCTCCCAAAGTGCTGAGATTACAGGTGTGAGCACCTGCACCTGGCAAAATCTTTTTAATTATGTTCCTAAGCTTTTCCTGGACTCTCATTCATGTCTAATTCAAAAGCATGTTTAAATTATGTACCTTTCCAAAGCATTCAAATTAATTTTCTTAGAAGAAACAATTATTGTCTTTCCCTCATATTTATTATTTTTATTATAATTGAATTAAACTTCATAGACATATTAAGCACAATTAGCTTAAAACATAAGAAACAGCCTCACGCATTCTTAGTAAGCATGCACCTGATTGGAGAATCAGAGACAAGCGCTCTAACGAATGGTCTACAAGACATGAACATTCATGTTACAAACATTGACAAGTATGATTAGCAAAAAGAATAAAGTGCACTGATGAACAGGAGCAGTGGCTCATGCTCACTTACAAAGTGAGTAATCCCCTCACTTTGGGAGGCTGGGGTGGGTGGATAGCTTGAGGCCAGGAGTTTGAGACCAGCCTAGCCATTATAGCAAAACCCATCTACTAAAATTACAAAAAATTAGCTGGACATGGTGGCTCATGCCTGTAATCCCAACTACTCAGGGGGCTGAGGCAGGAGAATCACTTGAACGCTGATGGTGGAGGTTGCAGTGAGGCGAGATCACAACTAGAGAAGCCAAGTAAATATATTCATAGATAGCATGTGGCTGTAAGCAACATATCTTCCTTTCCTTAACTGAGATGCAAGAAGTGTCTATATATATTTTTTAAAAATTTTAGAATAAATTCCATTTACTCTCAGCCTAAAGTATTGGGAGAATGAGTATGTCAAATGGAAATGGAAGAAATTTTAAAAACCATGAAGCATTTTTCAGTTTAAGAGAGAAAAATAACATCTAATCAAGAATTACAAATCGTGGAAGTATTTAGACTTTTAGACAGAGATTTGGGGGTTTCTATAGTCTGAAGCCCAAATTGGCAGTTATGAAATGTTGCAGAGCTCTGTGATAGTGAAATTGACATAGAATTTATCAATTTACTGCTGGTAAGATAGAACAGCCCACCTCTTCACCTTGGAATGGTAATGAAAAATTCCCATCTCATTCTTTCATACCTGTATTCTTCACTCACAGTGGTTTGTAATGAGGTATAACTTGGCTGAAAATCTTTATCATCTTCTGATTTTGAGGGCCTGGGATCTGATCCGAGTCTTTGCCATATTGCCATTTTCTTTTCCATTTGCTTTCTAGCCTCTCTGTTTAATTCTTAGAATACTTTTTATCATAATCTGTCAAACTCCATCTTTAAAATGTGGAAGTCCAGGATAGACATTACAAATCTGGGCTTGTTTTTCTTCTATCAGTTTTTAGTCATGTCTGTCTGTTTTTTATTTTTATATATTTTTTATTTTTTAAATTATACTTTAAGTTTTAGGGTACATGTGCACAATGTGCAGGTTTGTTACGTATGTATACATGTGCCATGTTGGTGTGCTGCACCCATTAACTTGTCATTTAACATTAGGTATATCTCCTAATGCTATCCCTCCCCCCTCCCCCCACCCCACAACAGGCCCCGGTGTGTGATGTTCCCCTTCCGGTGTCCATGTTTTCTCATTGTTCAATTCCCACCTGTGAGTGAGAACATGCGGTGTTTGGTTTTTGTCTTTGCGATAGTTTGCTGAGAATGATGGTTTCCAGCTTCATCCATGTCCCTACAAAGGACATGAACTCATCCTTTTTTACAGCTGCATAGTATTCCATGGTGTATATGTGCCACATTTTCTTAATCCAGTCTATCATTGTTGGACATTTGGCTTGGTTCCAAGTCTTTGCTATTGCGAATAGTGCCGCAATAAACATACATGTGCATGTGTCTTTATAGCAGCATGATTTATAATCCTTTGGGTATATACCCAGTAATGGGATGGCTGGGTCAAATGGTATTTCTAGTTCTAGATCCCTGAGGAATCACCACACTGACTTCCACAATGGTTGAACTAGTTTACAGTCCCACCAACAGTGTAAAAGTGTTCCTATTTCTCCACATCCTCTCCAGCACCTGTTGTTTCCTGACTTTTGAATGATTCTAACTGGTGTGAGATGGTATCTCATTGTGGTTTTGATTTGCATTTCTCTGATGGCCAGTGATGATGAGCATTTTTTCATGTGTCTGTTGGCTACATAAATGTCTTCTTTTGAGAAGTGTCTGTTCATATCCTTCACCCACTTGTTGATGGGGTTGTTTTTTTCTTGTAAATGTGTTTGACTTCATTGTAGATTCTGGATATTAGCCCTTTGTCAGATGAGTAAATTGCAAAAATTTTCTCCCATTCTGTAGGTTGCCTATTCACTCCGATGGTAGTTTCTTTTGCTATGCAGAAGCTCTTTAGTTTAATTAGATCCCATTTGTCAATTTTGGCTTTTGTTGCCATTGCTTTTGGTGTTTGAGACATGAAGTCCTTGCCCATGCCTATGTCCTGAATGGTATTGCCCAGGTTTTCTTCCAGGGTTTCTATGGTTTTGGGTCTAACATTTAGGTCTTTAATCCATCTTGAATTAATTTTTGTATAAGGTGTAAGGAAGGGATCCAGTTTCAGCTTTCTACATATGGCTAGCCAGTTTTCCCAGCACCATTTGTTAAATAGGGAATCCTTTATCCATTTCTTGTTTTTGTCAGGTTTGTCAAAGATCAGATGGTTGTAGATATGCGGCATTATTTCTGAGGCCTCTGTTCTGTTCCATTGGTCTATATCTCTGTTTTGATATACTATAGCCTTGTAGTATAGTTTGAAGTCAGGTAGCATGATGCCTCCAGCTTTGTTCTTTTGGCTTAGGATTGACTTGGCAATGCGGGCTCTTTTTTGGTTCCATATGAACTTTAAAGTAGTTTTTTCCAATTCTGTGAAGAAAGGCATTGGTAGCTTGATGGGGATGGCATTGAATCTATAAATTACCTTGGGCAGTATGGCCATGTTCACGATATTGATTCTTCCTACCCATGAGCATGGAATGTTCTTCCGTTTGTTTGTATCCTCTTTTATTTCATTGAGCAGTGGTTTGTAGTTCTTCTTGAAGAGGTCCTTCACATCCCTTGTAAGTTGGATTCCTAGGTATTTTATTCTCTTTGAAGCAATTGTGAATGGCGGTTCACTCATGGTTTGGCTCTCTGTTTGTCTATTATTGGTGTATAAGAATGCTTGTGATTTTTGCACATTGATTTTGTATCCTGAGACTTTGCTGAAGTTGCCTATCAACTTAAGGAGATTTTGGGCTGAGATGATGGGGTTTTCTAGATATACAATCATGTCATCTGCAAACAGGGACAATTTGACTTCCTCTTTTCCTAATTGAATACCCTTTATTTCCTTCTCCTGCCTGATTGCCCTGGCCAGTACTTCTAACACTATGTTGAATAGGAGTGGTGAGAGAGGACATCCCTGTCTTGTGCCAGTTTTCAAAGGGAATGCTTCCAGTTTTTGCCCACGCAGTATGATATTGGCTGTGGGTTTGTCATAGATAGCTCTTATTATTTTGAGATATGTCCTATCAGTACCTAATTTATTGAGAGTTTTTAGCATGAAGGGCTGTTGAATTTTGTCAAAGGCCTTTTCTGCATCTATTGAGGTAATCATATGGTTTTTGTCACTGGTTCTGTTTATATGCTGGATTACGTTTATTGATTTGCTTATGTTGAACCAGCCTTGCATCCCAGGGATGAAGCCCACTTGATCATGGTGGATAAGCTTTTTGATGTGCTGCTGGATTCAGTTTGCTAGTATTTTATTGAGGATTTTTGCACCGATGTTCATCAGGGATATTGGTCTAACATTCTCTTTTTTTGTTGTGTCTCTGCCAGGCTTTGGTATCAGGATGATGCTGGCCTCATAAAATGAGTTAGGGAGGATTCCCTCTTTTTCTATTGATTGGAATAGTTTCAGAAGGAATGGTACCAGCTCCTCCTTGTACCTCTGGTAGAATTCGGCTGTGAATCCATCTGGTCCCGGATTTTGTTTGGTTGGTAAGCTATTAATTATTGCCTCAATTTCAGAGCCTGTTATTGATCTATTCAGAGATTCAACTTCTTCCTGGTTTAGTCTTGGGAGGGTGTATGTGTCAAGGAATTTATCCATTTCTTCTAGATTTTCTAGTTTATTTGCATAGAGGTGTTTGTAGTATTCTCTGATGATAGTTTGTATTTCTGTGGGATTGGTGGTGATATCCCCTTTATCATTTTTTATTGCATCTGTTTGATTCTTCTCTCTTTTCTTCTTTATTAGTCTTGCTAGCAGTCTATCAATTTTGTTGATCTTTTCAAAAAACCAGGTCCTGGATTCATTGATTTTTTGAAGGGTTTTTTTGTGTCTCTATTTCCTTCAGTTCTGCTCTGATCTTAGTTATTTCTTGCCTTCTGCTAGCTTTTGAATGTGTTTGCCCTTGCTTCTCTAGTTCCTTTAATTGTGACGTTAGGGTGTCAATTTTAGATCTTTCCTGCTTTCTCCTGTGGGCATTTAGTGCTATAAATTTCCCTCTACACACTGCTTTGAATGTGTCCCAGGGATTCTGGTATGTTGTGTCTTTGTTCTCGTTGGTTTCAAAGAACATCTTTATTTCTGCCTTCATTTCGTTATGTACCCAGTAGTCATTCAGGACCAGGTGGTTCAGTTTCCACGTAGTTGAGCAGTTTTGAGTGAGTTTCTTAATCCTGAGTTCTAGTTTGATTGCACTGTGGTCTGAGAGACAGTTTGTTATAATTTCTGTTCTTTTACATTTGCTGAGGAGTGCTTTACTTCCCAGTATGTGGTCAATTTTGGAATAGGTGTGGTGCTGAGAATGTATGTTCTGTTGATTTAGGGTGGAGAGTTCTGTAGATGTCTATTAGATGCGCTTGGTGCAGAGCTGAGATCAATTCCTGTATATCCTTGTTAACTTTCTGTCTCATTGATCTGTCTAATGTTGACAGTGGGTTGTTAAGTCTCCCATTATTATTGTGTGGGGGTCTAAGTCTCTTTGTAGGTCCCTAAGGACTTGCTTTATGAATCTGGGTGCTCCTGTATTGGGTGCATATATATTTAGGATAGTTAGCTCTTCTTGTTGAATTGATCCCTTTACCATTATGTAATGGCCTTCTTTGTCTTTTGATCTTTGTTGGTTTAAAGTCTGTTTTATCAGAGACTAGGATTGCAACCCCTGCCTTTTTTTGTTTTCCATTTGTTTGGTAGATCTTCCTCCATCCCTTTATTTTGAGCCTATGTGTGTTTCTGCAGGTGAGATGTGTTTCCTGAATACAGCACACTGATGGGTCTTGACTCTTTATCCAATTTGCCAGTGTGTGTCTTTTAATTGGAGCATTTAGCCCATTTACATTTAAGGTTATTGTTATGTGTGAATTTGATCCTCTCATTATGATGTTAGCTGTTTATTTTGCTCATTAGTTGATGCAGTTTCTTCCTAGCCTTGATGGTCTTTACAATTTGGCATGTTTTTGGAGTGGCTGGTACCGGTTGTTCCTTTCCATGTTTAGTGCTTCCTTCAGGAGCTCTCTTAGGGCAGGCCTGGTGGTGACAGAATCTCTCAGCATTTGCTTGTCTGTAAAGGATTTTATTTCTCCTTCACTTATGAAGCTTAGTTTGGCTGGATATGAAATTCTGGGTTGAAAATTCTTTTCTTTAAGAATGTTGAATATTGGTCCCCTCTCTCTTCTGGCTTGTAGAGTTTCTGTGGAGAGGTCAGCTGTTAGTCTGATGGGCTTCCCTTTGTGGGTAACCTGACCTTTCTCTCTGGCTGCCCTTAACATTCTTTCTTTGTAGCTTACAGTCTATGAAAGTATCTGACTTACGTTATTCAGTTCTAGTTTCTTTTCCTCCAAGTTCTTTTTTTTTTTTCCCTTGGAAGAGTTGAATTGCATATTCACTCGCATATGTGAGAAAATGGAGAATTCTAACTTTTATGTCATTCTTTCAGGTTATTCTTGAGGTGAGTTATATGGCCTTCAACCTGCTCATACAAAGTTATAGCACAGAAATAATGTCTATGAATTCTGGGAAGAAAGCAAGCAATCAGGCGCCTCCAATTACCCTGTCATCCTTAAACACACGTTTGGTATTTCAGCTAAAAAGCAAACTGTGTAAGACATAATTTTAACATCTCAGCCATTGATGGGAGAATGTTTTGTAAGCCCACCTACTAAAACAGGATCTTCTTTCTAGATTCTGGTTCAATAAATTGCTGAACAAGTGAAATGCATACTCTTCCACTTTTCCAGACTTGCTTCCTCAAACAGTCATATTGTGCCATTAGCAAATTGTTTCTGGTTTCTGCATCTATCATTTAGTTAGCTCATGAGACTGCTGTTTGGTCAGACTTGATAAAGAAATCTTGTCTGTGCTGTATGTGGCATTGGTCAGGATGGCTTGTGTGGGGGCAGATTCTACTTTTAGGATGGTTCACTCAAACTGGGGCCTTTGCTGCCCTCTAAGTGGGCTTCTTTACATGAGTTTGGTAATGGCTGCCCCACTTGCTTTACAGCATGGTGTCTGGAATCCAAGAGTGAGTGTCCAAAGAAGACAGAAAGTAGAACCTACCAGTTCCCTAAGACAGGGGCTGGATACTAGCATAGCCTGTTTTCCTTCTTCTGTTATTGGTAAAGCACAGAGTCCAAATTCAAGGGCAAGGTATATGGAACTCACTTCTTAATGACAGAGGTGACAAAGGAATTTGAGGCTATGTTTTAAAAATATCATATAGATTATTTTGAAATACGTTTGAATTTAAATTATAATTCCCTCTGAATCTATAGTTTAAGCAGGAAGTTCTTACGTTAAGGGGGAAATTCTAGTTTTATTTATTTTTGACAATGTTCTAGCCTAATTACTCATGGTACGGGATTATATACTATGTATCATCAGTTCTCAGAGTGTTTAGACATTGTTTTATATCTCAGGATATGATTTTTTAAATGAATCTTTTGGGAAATGGGAAAAGATAGGTACGTTTCAATGTTTAGAGGTGTATTCAGTATCTAAAAGTTACATCAATTTATCTTATTTTTTCTTTTTACTGTTGTTCAATTCTTTGATGTCATTACCAATTTTTGATTGCTTTTTAAAACAGACACTAGGATCAATTAAAATATCACATGTTAATGATAGATTTTTATTTTTCCTTTTAGTTATATAATTTTGCAAGTTACATTTTTCTTTACATGTTATTTACATACAAATTTAGAATTATTCCATCTTTCTTGTGAACCAAACTTTTTACCAATATGAAGTGTTCTCTTTATCTCAAGTTATATTAAAGCCTTTTCCAGCTTCCTATTATTTAATGTATTTATAATGTAAATTTTTCTGTCGTTTTACTTTCTGTGTTCTTTTATTTAAGGTGTGTCTCTTTCAAATAGATGTAGTTGGAATTTATTCTGTCATTCAGTCTGGTAATCCACATACATAATGTTATTATTATTATTTGAATTTTTAAGTTTAAATTACCGTTTAATTTTCTATCCCTTCCCTGTTCTTCTTCTTCCCATACTGTAAGTTAAAAGGTATATTTTATTATGCCTTTCCTTTCTGTAATTTTATGTTACATATTCCTTGAAAATTATTTTAGTGATTTCCCTAAAGATGCAGGTCATGCCACATACGTAACTGACTTATCAAAGTTAACACAGATAAAACTTTTTCTTACTTTCCAGAGAAAACAATATTCTTAGAATATACTAACTTGATATGTTATTGTTTTCAGGTATTTTAATTCTTCACATTATGTATTTTAAACTTCATAATGCTTTATTGTTAATATTTTATACCATTTACATTCATTTAGATTCACCCAATATTTTGTGTTTTCACTCAGAATTCCTTCTTGGCATTTGTTTTCTTACATCATTTTGTAGATTTAATTCTATGTCTTCTTACTGTCATAATTTCTATTGAGAAGTCTATTGCCAGACTTATTCTTGGTTCCTTGAAGTTACTGTGTTTTATTCCCTCTGGATACTTTAAAGATTTTCCTTTTTAGGGACATGGATGAAGCTGGAAAGTATCATTCTCAGCAAACTAACACAAAAACAGAAAACCAAACACCGCATGTTCTCACTCATAAGTGGGAGTTGAACAATGAGAACACATGGTCACAGGGAGGGGAACATCACACACTGGGGCCTGTAGGGGAGGTGGGGCTAGGGGAGGGATAGCATTAGGAGAAATACCTAATGTAGATGACAGGTTGATGGGTACAGCAAACCATCATGGCACATGTAAACCGATGTAACAAAACTGCATGTTCTGCACATGTACCCCAGAACTTAAAGTATAATAAAAAAAAAAGAAAAAAAGTTTCTGTTTTTACTTGGTTTTCAAAAGTTAAAATATGGCCTGCCTATAATTCCTTTTGAATCCATCTTTTCTTTCCTTTAGCTTCTTGAATTTGTGGTTTGATATCCTTTGTCACTTTTGGAAAATTCTCAGCCAGTATCTTTTTTTCTGTTCCTTCTTTCTATTCTCACCTTCAGTTCTCCAATAACATATCAACTTCTTTCATCCCATAAGCCTTAGTTTTTTTCTCTTTTTTCCTCTATTAATTAGTTTGGCCATTTTCTTCTTTCCTGTATTACAGGTAATTAATTTTCTCTTTGGACATGTATAATCTGCTGTTAAACACATTCGTTGTTTTTATTTTCAATTATTGATTTTTTTCCGTTGAATACATTCCATTTGCATCTTTTTATGGCTTACTGTTCTATGATAACGTTCTCAATCTGACTTCTGTATCCTTATGAAGAATTATTTTAAAGTTTGTGATAATTGTATTACCTGATTTTTGAATCTGTTATATTCTCTGTTGTTTCCTCGATTTTGTCATTTAATAACATCTGCTTGTAGTGACTTTTATTTTTATTCTGTGCTGGATATTGCGAATAAGAAATTGTCAAAATTATTTGAGCCCTAGAGAAATGTACCCTTTTTCCCAGAGCACTTTTAAGTTTGCTTTAGATGGAAAGTAGGGCCGTTAGCGATCACTTCTTGCGAAGACTGGTGTATCCTCAGCTTACCTGTCTTCTACGGTATGGTCCTTTTGGTTTCCAAGTCATAGACTTTGTGATTTTCCAAAGCCCTTTCTACTTGACAGCAAGTTAACTTTATTTTTTGAACTCTTAAACTTGTACATCTGTCAAAAAGACTTGTCAATCTTTTCAGCCTCTCAGCCATTTCTGAAATCAGCATCAGTTTCTGTGATAAACATGGCCTTAAATGCTGAGTTCATCTCACTGGGTATCTTATGCTGGACTTTCACTCTTTGATTTTTGTTGTCCCATAAACTCTTTGACACTTCCACACATACATTTTAAACTTGTTTTTGTTTTTTTCTTTTTCTTGTTGTTCTTAGTTAGAAAGTTGTTCTCAGAGTAAGGTTGGGCATTACCAAAACCAGAATTCCTATTTTTTCTTAATTTATAAAAGAAATTCTAGAAAATTATTTCTTAAGCAAATGTATACAAGTATAATTCCATTTTAAGTTCTTATTCTTTTTTTTTTTTCCTTTGAGATGGAGTTTCACTCTTTTTGCCCAGGCTGGATGCAATGGCGCGATCTCGGCTCACTGCAACCTCCGCCTCCCATGTTCAAGCGATTCTCCTGCCTCAGCCTCCCAGGTAGCTGGGATTATAGGCATGTGCCACGATGCCTTGCTAATTTTGTATTTTTAGTAGAGATGGGGTTTCACCATGTTGGTCAGGCTGGTCTCGAACTCCCGAACTCAGGTGATCCACCTGCCTCAACCTCCCAAAGTGCTGGGATTACAGGTGTGAGCCGCCGCTCCTGGCCTTAAGTTCTTATTCATAAATCTATGAGGTAAAGATGTTTAGGTACTCATGAAAATTTTCATCAACTCGTCTACCTGTAACTGTTCATCAGAATTCTGACTTATGTCTACTTAATTTTATGTGCTTAAAGATTAATGATCTTTTAAAAAATATCATTAAACGTTGAACCTGAAGAAAACTTTGAATTTCAGTAAGGTTTTCCATTTTATAGATGTGGTAATTGCAATTCAGAGCAATGGCAGCAGCAAGAATATCACCTATGATAAATGTGCGACTCAGGATTATACCTGTCTATATACTGCATGGTATTATTTGATTGTTTAGTTCAAGAACCATACTTATTCTGTATACTTGTATTATCTGGTATAAGTGCATGTCTCAAGGACACTTTAGTTCTAAGATCAATAGGACTATATGAGGGTTTTATCACCAGTGTTTGACAAATGTCCCCAATAGATTGTTTGATGATTTATCTGCACACAAATTATAGATCCTTGCCATGTAGAAGGAAACGGTTCCCCTTGTTAAAGCAAAACTTATCTGGTTAACCATTGCATGGACTCAGACCAATACTGAAAGATAACATCAAAGAAATTTTATTATTTGCCTGTCACAAGAATCAGAATAAATGGTGAGTGAGAAGATATTACTAAATAGTCTAATTTTTTACATTTAATAGTTTAACACATCTCACTTAGATTTGCCTAAAGGACTATAAAATAAGAATTTGAAAAATCATGTCACCTTAATCGTGCAATATAAAAATAAAGATAAGTGAAATCTCCATTATAGATAATGCAACATGTAGGCATCATATCGAGAGAAATTATTTTTGAAATGAAGTCCTAGTTCTAGTCTCCAGACATTCTATTGTCATCTTCCAACATGATAAAAATCTAATATATTTTCCTCTTTTCTACAGCTTACTATCACATACTATCTGTTAAATTTTATAAAATTCTGTGCCATATTTTAAACATACATCAAGTTTATCAACTTTATTCGTATAAATATGCATTACTAAGAATGTTTACTATTTTTATTTCAAAATAACCTTATTCTGAGATAGGAAACACAGTTTTGTTTATCTTTAACCAAACTAACTTACACTTTAATTCTCTCTATTG
This sequence comes from Homo sapiens, assembly GCF_000001405.40. Classification (NCBI taxonomy): domain Eukaryota; kingdom Metazoa; phylum Chordata; class Mammalia; order Primates; family Hominidae; genus Homo; species Homo sapiens. The sequence continues at coordinate 76,096,319 of NC_000016.10, forward strand.
AACGTGGTATAGTAATTCTAATTCAATTTAATGTTTCAGTATCAAGTATTCTACATAATTTTTTGGTTTGTTGTATCTTGATTATTAAACATGAGTAGGTACAAAGGAAAATATTAAAATGAAGAGACTGAGGAACATATGCCCTGTAAGAATTTCTATTTTTAAAGGACAGGTTTTCAAATAAACATAGGCAGTTGGCTTATATGCATTTAACTAATTTCAGTACCCTTTGAATAAACAAAAAATGATACTAGTTTCTGAAAATAGAAGAAACATATCTCATGTAGCTTGATTTTAATATTGTGTCTAGCTTTTTTCTCTGTTACTAATATGTGTTGCTTGCAATTCACAAGCTCTTATATAATGCCATATAAATTTAATATGCCCTGAAGGGAATTTGCTCTAGGGACGTATTAAGAAGGCTAAATATGATCTTGAAAGTTATAAACTATGCTTTCCAATTTAGTGTTATTCAATCAGACCTAATTTATATTTCAGCATAAGCTGGAAATAAAATAGAGTTTGCCTGGTTAATGTCCAAAGCAGAGAAGAATTTCTAGCAAATTCTCTAATATATGCCTAATTGATACTTCTATTGATAAAAACCTGACAGTGTTTATTAGCATCCCTGAGCAAAAAAATCCTTCTAATAGCTGTTAGTGTTTTGCAAAAATTATATGTCGTATCTTGGATCAGTAATCTTATCTCAACCAACTTTTTCTTTCCTTGGCATTATTTCCCAATATAGACTTATGACTATGTTAATAATAAAAGTTTTACCGTAAGTCTGATTTAATTACTTTCTTTTTTTTTTTTTTTTTTTTTTTGAGTTGGAGTATTGCTCTGTCACCCAGGCTGGAGTGCAATGGCGTGATCTCAGCTCACTGCAACCTCTGCCTCCCAGGTTCAAGCGATTCTCCTGCCTCAGTCTAATTTCTAATTATTATTCCACATCTAGCCATTAGCTAGGAATTAGTCTTTAAGCACTTCTACTACATCCCTAAATAGTCCAAGGATAAAAGTATCTGTCATGAACATTAGTATATTTAGAGAAACCATGTAGTGTAGCTTAGACTGGGAAGACAAAAATGCCTAGATTTACAAGTTACTACCTGTATGAATTTTTAAATAGAATTACTCATTTAATTTACAAAGCATACATTTTGCCCATTTTAAGTACACAATAATTTTTAATAAATTTACAGTTCTGCAAATAGCATCACGATTTCATTATTTCTGTCTCTCCAAAAAGATTCCTTATGCCTATCTGAAGTCAGTCTCAAGTTTCACTCCCAGCCCCAGGCAAGCAACCTGCTTTTTTTTTTTCTCTACAGATTTTCTTTTCTGGACATTTTATATGAGTGGAAGTATATAATGTGTCATCTTCTGATCTTCTGTGTCTAGCTTTTTTCACTTAGCATAATATTTTTGAAGTTTATGTTTTGCATGCAGGAGTAGTTAATTAATTGTTATTGCTAAATAGTATTCCACTGCATGAATGTACCACATTTTATTTATCCATTCATTAGTAAATGGGCATGTGGGGTTTTTTTTCCAGGTTTTGACTATGATAAACAATGCTGCCAGAAACATTCAATTACAAATCTTTGTATAGACATATGCTTTCATTTGTCTTGAATAGATACCTAGAAGTGAAATTGATAGATTATATGATAAATTTGTATTTAAATTTTTAAGAAATCACCAAACTGTTTTCCAAAGCAGTAATATCATTTTAATTACCCCACCAGAAATGTGTATTTCCATTTTCTCCACAATCTTTTAAAAAACTTGTTATTGTCTGCTTTCTTTGTTACAGCCATTCTTGTCAGTGTGATGTGGTATTACATTGTGGTACCAACTTACATTTCCCTAATAACTAATGATGTTGACTGTCTTTTATGTGCTTATTAAAAATTCATGTATCTTTTTTGGTAAGTGTCTAATCTATACTTTTGCCCATTTTAATTATATCATTTTCTTCTTAGTTTTAAGAATTCTTTGTAGTTTATTGGTATGAGTCCTTTATGAGATGATTTGCAAATAATTTCTCCTAGTCTGAAGCTGGTCTTTTTTTTTTTTCTTAATGGTGTCTTTTAAAACACAAACATTTTTAATTTTGGCAAAGTCCAACTTATTCACTTAAAAAAATTATAGATGGTGCTTTTGTCTTTGTGTCTAAGAAAGTTTTATACAACCAAAATGATAGATATTTTCTCCTATCTTTTCTTCTGTGTTTTATTTAAAAACTTTGTAGTCTTAGCTCTTTCCTTTTAGGCTGTGATCCATTTTGGTTAATTTGTGTGTATGATGTTGGAGTGAACAGCCCTGACTCCTTCATATTAGGGGGAAAATTCAATCTTAGCACTTTGGGAGGCCGAGGCGGGTGGATCACCTGAGGTCAGGAGTTCGAGACCAGCCTGGCCAACATGGTGAAACATTGTCTCTACTAAAAAAACAAAGATTAGTTGGGTGTGGTGGCAGGCACCTGTAATCCCAGCTACTTGAAAGGCTGAGACAGGAGAATCACTTGAACCTGGGAAGTGGAGGTTGCAGTGAGCCGAGATCATGCCACTGCACTCCAGCCTGGGCAACAGAGTGAGAGACTCTGTCTCAAAAAAAAAAAAAAAAAAAAAAAAAAGTATGATGTCAGCTGCAGGTTTTTCATAGATTCCCTTTACCAGGTTGAGGAAATTATCTTCTATTCAGAATTTGTCAAGAGCTTTCATTATAAATAGCTGTTGGATTTTGTCAATTTTTTTTTCTACATCTATTGAAGTGATCAGGTTTTTTTTGTTCTTTACTCAATTAATATGGTGCATTACAGTAATTGATTTTCAGATATAAAACCAACCCTTCATTTCTAGAATAAATCCAACTTGATCATCATGTGCAATTGTTTTTTATATGTTGTGGATTCCGTTTGCTATTATTTTGTTGAAGTATTTTACATGTATATTTATTAGGAATATCTGTATGTAGTTTCCATTTTTGTGATGTCTTTGTGTGCTTTGGTATCAGGGTAATACTACCTTCATAAAATGAGTTGGGAAGTGTTCTTTTCTTCATTTTTAGAATATTTTATAAAGAATTGCTATTATTTCTTTTTTTAAATGCTTGATTGAATTAAACAGTGAAGCCATCTGTTCCTATATTTTTCTTTGTTGGAAGATTTTTTAATTATTAATTTGATTTCTGTAGTTATTATAGATATATTCACATTTTCTATTTCTTCCTGAGTCAATTTTAATAATTTATTCATTTTACTTCAAGTTTCTTGAAGTTTGTTCATTTCATCTAAGATACCTAATTTGTTTCCATAAAGCTGTTCATAGTATTTCTTAAAAATCCTTTCAATTTCTGTAGGATAATTGGTGAAGCTCCCACTTTCATTTCTAACTTTGGCAACTTCCATGCTTTTTCTGTTTTTCTTACTTTTAGTCTTTCTTGATAAAGATTTGTCAATACTGCTAATCTTTTCAAAAGCTCAAATTTTAAAATTTATTTTTAAATTAACAAGTAAAAATTGCAATATTTATGGTGTACAATGTAATGCCTTAATATATGTACACATTGTGAAATGGCTAAATCAAGTCATTTAATATATGTATTACCTCACTCACGTACTTATCGTTTTTTTGTCTATGGTGAGAACACTTAAAACCTATTGTCTTAGAAATTTTCAAGTATACAATATTTTGTTAGTAACTACAGTCATGATGATGTACAATAGATTTCTTCAACTTGTTTCTCCTGTCTAACTGAAATTTTGTATTGTTTAGCCAAAATATCCCATGTACCCCCAACTGCCAGCCTGTAGCAACCAACATTTTACTCTCCATTTGTATGAGTTTGACTTGTTCAGACTCCACCTATGAGAGAAGTCATGTGGCATTTGTCTTTCTGTGCCTGGCTTATTTCACTTAGCATAATGTCCTCCAGGTTCATCTATGTTATTGCAACAGACAAAATTCCCTTCCTTCTATGGATGAACACTATTCCTTTATACATGCATGCATACACACACACACTCACAACCCACCACCTCCACACACACATCTCATTTTAAAATTCCATTCATTTGTTGATGGACACTTAAGTTGATTCCATATCTTGTTTATTGTGAATAATCCTGTAAAGAACATGGGAGTGAAGACATCTCTTTGAAATAGTAATTTCAATTACACTGAATATATACCCAGAAGTAAGATAGCTGGATCATACGGTTATGTTTTCAACTTTTTTTGAGAAATCTCTGTACTGTTTTTCTTTTAATTGCTGTACTAATATATATATTCCCACCAACAGTGTGCAAGGGTTGCCTTTTGTCCACATCTATGCCAACACTTGTTATTTTTCATCTCTTTGATAACAGCCATTCTAATAGATTTGATCCCTCACTGGAATTTTGGTTTGCATTTCCCTGATGATTAGTGGTGTTCAGAATTTTTCATATACCTGTCAGCCATTTTTATGTAGTCTTTTGAGAAATGTGTAGTCAGATCCCTTGCCATTAAAAAATCAGGTTGTCTTATTTTCTATTGAGTTATTTGAGTTCCTTATTTATTTTGAAAGTTAATTCTTTTTGCTAACTTTGGGCTTAGTTTGTTCCTCTTTTTCTAGTTCCTTATGGTGTAAAGTTAGGTTGTTTACTTGGGTTTTTTTTTTCCTTAATGTAGGCATTTATCACAATAAACTTCCATCTTAGAACTGCTGTTGCTATATCCCATAATTTCTGGTATGTTGTGTTCCCATTTTTGTCTGTCTCAGAATATTTTAAAATTTCCCTTTAAATTTCTTCCTCTGACCCATCAGTTGTTTAAGAGCATGTTGTTTGACTTCCATATATTTGTAAATTTTTCAAGATTACTCCTGTTATTGTTTTCTAGTTCCGTACTATTGTGCAGGAAATATATTTGATATGATTTCAATCTTGTTAAATTTGTTGAGACTTGTTTTGCAGCCTAAAATATTACTTATCCTGGAGAAAGTTCCATGTGCCCTTGAGGAAAATGTGTATTCTGTTGTTGGATGGAATGTTCTAGATATGTCTGTTAGGACCATTTGGCCTAAAGTGTAGCTTAAGTTGAGGTTTTATTATTGATTTTCTGTCTGGATGATCTATCCATTGCTGAAAATGGGGTATTCAGGTCTTCTACCATTACTGTATTACAGTCTATCTCTCCTTTCAGGTCTATTACTATTTGCCTTACATATTTAGTCATTCTGATATTGGGTGCATATATATTTATAATTGTTATATCCTCTTGATGTATTGATACCTTTAGTTTATAATCAATATAATGTCTTTGTCTCTTTTACAGTTTTTGACTTAAAGCCCATTTTATCTGACATAAGTATAATTACATTTGTTCTCTTTAGGTTTTAGTTTGCATAAAACATCTTTCTCTATCCTTTCACTTCCAGTCTGTTTGTCCAGCAGTTAAGGTGAGTCTCTTTTAGGCAGAAAATATTTGGATCTTGTTTTTTTTAATCCATTCAGCCACTCTGCCTTTTGATTATACAATTTAATTCGTTTACATTCAAGGTAATTATTGATCAGTAAGGACTCAATATTGTCAATTTGGTAATTGTTTCCTGTTTGTTTTATAGATTTTTTGTTCCTTTCCTTTTGCTATCTTTCCTTACAATTAGGTGATTTTCTTTAACGGTATTCTTTGATTCCTTACTTTTATCATTTGTGTGTCTGCTATAGGTTTTTGACTTGTGGTTACCATGAGGATTACATAAAACACTGTGTAGTTATAACTGGTTATTTTAGGGTGATAACTTAATGATCAGATAAAAAATCTCAATACATTTACTCTACCACTCTCCATACAATTTATATATTTGATATCACAATTTATATCTTTTTATATTGCATACCCCTGAACAAATTATTGCAGTTATTATGTCAATAGTTTTTATTTTAACCTTCAAACCAAAGAAGTAAGTGATTTACATACCACCATTACAGTATTAGAATATTCTGAATTTGACTTTGTAATTATTTTTACCAGTGAGTTTTATACTTTTATGGTTTAATGTTACTAATTAGCATCCTTTTCTTTCAGCTTGAAAAACCTTTTTTGGAATTTCTTGTAAGACAAGTCTTTTGGGAATGAATTCTCTCAGCCTTTATTTGGCTGGGAAAATCTTTATCTCTCCTTCATTTCTGAAGGAAAGCTTTGCTGGATACAGTATTCTTAGTTGGGAGTTTTTTTTTTCTTCAGCACTTTAAATATATCATCCCACTCTTCCCTGGTCTGTTCTCAGTAGATTTCTGCTGAGATATCCACTGCTAGTCATATTGACACTCCTTTATATGTAACTTGCTTCTTTTCTTGTGTTTCAGGATCCTCTTTTTGTCTTTGATTTTATATAGTTGGATTATAACATGTCTTGGTGTAGTCTTTTTTGGATTGGATCTAATTGGAGATCTTTGACCTTCCTGCCCATGGATATTTATATCTTTTCTCCAGGTTTGGAAAGTTTTCTAATATAATTTCTTTAAGCAAGCTTTCTACTCCTTTTTTTCTCTTTGCTTTCTTGAAATATTGTGACCCCAAATTTGTTCTTTTGATGCTGTTGCATAAGATCTCATAAGCTTCTTAATTCCTTTTCTTTTTTCTCCTCTGTTTGTGTACCTTCAAATAACCCGTTTTTTAAGTTCACAGATTCTTTCTGCTTCATTAATTTTGCTATTGATGTGCTCTATTTCGTTTTTATTTTGTTCATTCTATTTTTCATCTCCAAATTTTCTGCTTAGCTTTTTAAAATTATTTCAATCTCTCTGTTAAATTTCTTGTTTTGGCCATTTCTTATTTTCTACATTTTGCTGAATTGTTTCTCTATTTTCTTGACGTTCCCTGAACTTCCTTAAAGCAGCCATTTAAATTCTTTGTCAGGCAGTTCATACATCTCCATTTCTTTAAGGTTGATCACTGGAACTTTATTTTGTCAATTTGGTAATGTCATATTTCCTTCATCATACTTGATCCTTGTGGCTATGTGTCAATGTCAGCACATACGAAGAGGTAGATACTTATTCTGGTTTTTGAAGACTTACTTTTTCTGGGAAAGCACTTCAATAATCAGCCTATCTCAAGATTCTGGCAGGGCATCTGCCATGGTCCATGGGAAGACTTGCTGCTGGAGCCCTTGGGCTGGCTGTCTTGGTGCCCGAATTCACTCGGATGGTTGATTGGGTCTGCTAGGGTAAACCTATAGCTTATATTCCTGGGGACAGGCCTAAAGCCCATGTTCTCAGGGCCAGTCTTGTGCTGGGGTGAATCTGAAGCCTGGTGCCACTGGAGCTGGCGTGAAGCCTGGGGCCACTGAGACTAGCCTGAAGCTCAGAACCACTGTGGCCAGCCTGCTACTGAGGGCTGTTCATAGTCTAGGGCAACTGAAGTCAGCCTCACAGTGGTGTAGACTGAGATTGAGTCCACTGCAGAGGCCTGAAGTCTGGCACTGGGGCTGATCTGGAGCCTCAGTTCATGGGTACCAGCCTGTATTCTGGGGCTATGGGGGTCTATCTGGTGCTGGCTTTTACTGTGGTGGGCCCAGTGTTGGAGTCTAAGGCAAAGTCCTGGCTGACTTCCCTCTCTTTCTCTCATGCAGAGGTTATCTCTCTCTACACTGTACTGCCTTGGGTTGGGAAAAAGGCAACATAGGTAATGGAAACTGTCATTTCCAGCCTCTTCAATGTATCTTTTCTTATTTCTGTGCTATTCCCAGGTTCTGTGATCTCTTACCTGGTTATTTGGTTCCCTTAGCTTTTGTGGTGGTGTTTTTGTGTGTAAATCGTTGTCAAAATTGATGTTTCTGTCGGGGGATTGTGGGCGGCAAGCCACCCAAGCGCCGAGGCAAGAGACCAAGGACACGAGCTGTTCCAGTATAATAAAATATAAAACAAGAATAGTTATACCAGATATAGATCTTAGATATGATTATATATGAATATCATTAATCATTAGTTGGTAGCAATTACTCTTTATTCCAATATTATAATAATTCTTGATCTATAATCATAACCTAGGAGAAACCAGGCCATACAGAGATAGGAGCTGAGGGGACACAGTGAGGAGTGACCAGAAGACAAGAGTGCGAGCCTTCTGTTATGCCCAGACAGGGCCACCAGAAGGGTTCCTTGGTCTGGCGGTGATGCCAGCGTCTGGGAAGATGCCCGTTGTCAGGCGGACCGTGGTCTAGCAGTAGCGAAAAGTGTCAAGGAACAACACCCGCTACTTAGCAGACCAGGAAAGGGAGGCTCCCTTTCCCCGGGGGAGTTTAGAGAAGACTCTGTTCCTCCACCTCTTGTGGAGGGCCTGACATCAGTCAGACTTGCCCGCAGTTATCCGGAGGCCTAACCGTCTCCCTGTGATGCTGTGCTTCAGTGGTCACGCTCCTAGTCCACCTTCATGTTCCATCCTGTACACCTGGCTCTGCCTTCTAGATAGCAGTAGTAAATTAGTAAAAGTACTAAAAGTCTCTGATATGCAGAAATAATGGCGTAAGCTGTCTTTCTCTCTGTCTCCTCTCTCTCTCTCTGCCTTGGCTGCCAGGCGGGGAAGGGCCCCATGTCCAGTGGACACGTGACCCATGTGAACTTACCTATCATTGGAGATGACTCACACTCTTTACCCTGCCCCCTTTTGCTTTGTATCCAATAAATAACAGCGCAGCCAGACATTCGGGGCCACTACCGGTCTCTGCGCATTGGTGGTAGTGGTCCCCCGGGCCCAGCTGTCTTTTCTTTTATCTCTTTGTCTTGTGTTTTTATTTCTACACTCTCTCGTCGCCACACATGGGGAGAGACTCACTGACCCTGTGGGGCTGGTCCCTACAGGGGATGAATGCTGGAGAGTCCTATTCTGCCATCGTGCTCTGCCCCTTTCTTAAGTCTATATTCTAATATATGATTGTTCAAAGCAAATTAATTACAATCACTATTTAATATTAGTCAATGTGCATTGCAAATCTTAGGATATACTAAAGATATTTTTGTTTATAATATTTACCATCTCATTTTCCATTAACTCATAAAAATGAGCACAATGAGGTGATAGAAAAAATATTTTCATGATAAATAAGAATCACTGTGGTTTCCTTCAGAGTTAATGGGCAGTTTGGATCAGTCTTTTTCAAATTCGAGTGCATGATGAATTACATTAATTGCATTTTCATGAAGATACCTATGTTCAGAAAGATGGCCTCACAGGAGCTATAAAGCTCTGTACCTCAATGGCTTTGAAAAAAATAAAAGACAATTATTTGGAAACTGATGTGTTGAGAAGCTTAGAATATATTTGGTTCTAAAGGCCTTAACCCACTCTAATTCTTCATCAAGGAAAATCAATCACAGGACGAGAACATGAATTAGATATCCCTAAATGTCATAACATTTATATATTGGATTTTATTTTTACTTCATTAAGAAACCAAATAAGACTGTAATTAAAGAAAACGATAGCATATGGCAGAGAGACTGTTTATGGTTTTCCCAACTTTATACACCATTAGAAATTCTATGCTGTGAAGGACAAGCCAAGCGAAATATAAGCATAATTGATTAGAAACTTACTCCACTTTTAAATCATAGGGAAATCTACTTTTATTTAATTTGAAATCTGTTACACAATTCTGTTTGAAATTGAATGCTCTAAAATTTCCCATGAAATTTGAAAGGGGATGAAAATGAATGAGGGAGCAAGGGCTTCAAAAGTCCCCTAACAGTATTATTTAATTTTAGAGACTTCCTTAGAGTAGATGTATCTTGAAATTTTGCTTTTGTAACTTCAGTAATAGTAAGTTAATCCCTCTGTTCAAGGGAGTGATTCAATAAAAACTGTTTGAATGCCTGCTATGTGCCAGGTGCTGTGTAATATTCTGAGAAAATAAAAAGCAAGGATGTTGATTTGTGTCCTCACAGAGTAGGCTGGGAAATAAACAAGTTAATATTTACATTGTGTGACAAATTCTATCTGGTCAGAGAAAAGTGATTGAGGGACAGACCAACATATTATCTTAAGAGTCACTCTGGATCATTCACAAATTATCGGGACTCAACTTTCCTTTTCCTTCTCACATCCCAGCTTTCTGCTTTCCCTATATAGCTACAGTTTTCCTTATAAGTATTCATGTGTTTTATAAGTCTGGACATACATATTTCTCCATGGAGTCCATGTTAATTTTTATATAGGTCAGTATTCTATGATGTTTCATTCTAATAGAGGACTGAGTCATCTTTAAATTTTTAACATTCCCTGTTTTCACTCAGGATTGAACCAGAACCACATATTTATATTTGTGTATGTTCGGTGTGGTGTATTGTGATGGTAATTGTGGGACGGTGCGCTATGTGGTATGATGCGATTTGGTACATGATATATTGGAAGTGGCATTGTATAGCATGTTCTGTTGTGTGGGTGGTGTAATACGTTCTGTTGGGGATAGTAGGTATAGGGTATGGGGTGTGTGGTGGGTTATGGTATAGTGTGCATTATGCACTGTGGTGCAGTATGTTGTGATGGACATGGTGGACATGGGTGTTGTGTGTGCTGTTGGGATGTGGTATTTGGCATGGCATGTAAAACAGTTGGAGTGGTAAATGTAGTGTATACATGGTGTATTTGGAGGTGCACGATGCAGTGTATTTGAAATGGTAGGTCTAGGAGTGTGTAGTTTGATATAATACGGTGCTGTATTTTATTATACAATATTCAAGTTCCATGTTTCTGAAGTCCAGCAAACAGAAGAAAGCATAAATTCCTGCAAATTAACAAGAAACACAGGTTGCGCTTGAATAGTATTTTCTATGTAAACTTGCTAAGTTTCAATATATCTTTCCAATGCTCAATGCAATCTGCATATTGAAGGCTTGTTAGACTCATGGCAGGGGACTGGGTATTCTCAAAATGAATAAGACAAATTAAGTAAGTATCCTCTAGGACCTCTGATTTAGCAAGATTATAAATGTGCCGCTAATGTGCAACTTTTATTATCTTGACAACGAACATGAGGTTTCCATTTTGGGAAGGGAACATTTTAGGGAAAATACCGTGATTGGCAGCTTGAGCTGGGAGGTACAGTCACCAGGACATGAGTACCCACAACACCCGAATCACATGGGGAGCTACTCAGTATGAGGAAATCAGATGACTTTTTATTGTTTTCTTTCCTATACCAAATAAGAGAAAAACTATAAGTGAGAGAGACATGGAAAAAAAAAAAGACCCAGTGAGATCATATTGTGTGAGGGCTGTTGGTAGTGGTAGTGGGAAGCTAACTAAAATCTTAAGAGGTTCTTCATGTTTAGAAACAAATGGTTTACATTTTTGTCATGTGAAAACACCTTCCATCTGTATATTTAAAACTTTACCTCTGTCTTTTAAAGTAGCCCTTAGATTTGGTAACCTCAGAATGATGTGTGGAAAGGCACTGGCAGAAGGTGATGTGATAGAAAGTAGAATCCAGAAAAGCTCAAAGGAGCCTTCAGCCAGAAGGGACCCAAGAAGGAAGCCCTTAGTGACTGTGCAGACATTGGAGAAGGTTCTCTACTACCCCAGGTTACAGTTTTAGGGACACACACTAATCTTAAGGGACAGGAGAGAGTCAGCTGAACTCTGAGTTAAAATTATGAGGTCTATTCTTCTAAGTATAAGTGAGGAAGAAACAAACTGATGTGGGAGAGTGGAATTTGTCATTTTAGTTGAGGCACAAAGGATGAGGGACACCATGAGGGAGCTGTCATTGACAAGAAAAACTGGGTGTCTCACTGACATAGAGAAAAAATGAAATTGAAAAAAACTTGTGTAATTTTCTTACATAGTAAGCTGGATATGGGACAAGAGAGAGCTAAAACTTCTCTTCTTATATAAAGCCATTGCTCCAGTGTAACTCTTCTGCTCACTGTGGCGTGAATATGTCTCTCTTTCTCCAGTCACCTCTTCTTCCCTCTTGTTATGCCTTTTCTGTTCTTCCCCTGTATCCTCTGGCTGACCAGCATCTCCTCTGCCCCTAAAATTCCACAGGACAGATTGTCAGCAGTTACTGGAAAAGAACATGGATTTTAGAGTTAAGGACAAACACATGATTCTCACTGTGGTTGGTGGACCCCAGGGCAGTCCCCATGATTCCTGCCCCCTTGTGTTCACACCTGTATAATCATCCCCTTAAGCATGGGTGGAACCTGTGAGTTACTTCTGACCAATAGAATATGGAAAAGATGAAAGGATATTTTTGCAGATGTCATTAAGGCCTCACATCAGTTTCTTTTGAGTTAATAAAAAGGGAAATATTCTTGGGTGGGCCTGACTTAATCAGATGAAGGCCTTCAAAGGGGAAACTGAGTTCTTTGTAGGAACAGAAACGTCAGCACTGGTTTTGAAGAATTAAACTGCCATTTTGTGATAAAGTCTATGGAGAGGGCTATGTAACAAGAAACCATGGTGACTTCAAGAAGCTGAGAAGTACCCTTAGTTGACAGAGAAAAAACAGATTGCACTGAATCTATAGATTGCTTTGAGTAGGATATGGAGAAAAGGGAACCCTTGTGCACCACTGGTGAGAACATAAATTAATACAGCCATTATATTAAACAGTATGGAGATTCTTTTAAAAGTTAAAAATATAATTACCATATGATCCAACAAACCCACTTCTGGGTATACACCCAGAAGAAACAAAATCAGCATTTTGAAGAGATAGTTGCACGCCCACGTTCATTGCAGCATTATTCACAATATCCAAGACATTGAAACAATGTAAGTGTCTGTCAGTGGATGACTGGATAAAGAAAATATCACACACATACACTGGCATATTATTCAGCCACAAAAAGAAGGAAATCCTGTCATTTGTGACAACATGGATGAATCTAAAGGGCATTTTGCTCAGTAAAATAAGTCAAACAGAGAAAGATAAATACCATAAGATTTCTCTTATATGTGGGGTTCAAAAAAGGCAAACTCATAGAAACAGAGAGTAGAACGGTGGTTGTCAGGGACTGAGGGGTTGGGGGAAGTGGGAAGGTGTTGGTCAGATAGTACAGGTTTTCAGTTAGAAGGTAAATTCTAGGATCTAATGTACAGTTTAGTCACTATGGTTAATAATACTATATTGTATACTTGAAATGTGCTAAGAGAATGGATCTTAAGTTTTCTCATCACACACATGTAACTATGTAAAGTGATGGATGTGTTAACTAACTCGATGGTGGTACTCATTTCACAAAATATACATATATATCAAGACATCATGTACGCCTTAAATATATACAATTTTATTTGTCAATTATACTTTAATAAAATTGGAAAAAATAAAAAATTTAACAACAACAACAAAAAAGGAAGAAAACAGAAACCCCAGTCCTATCACTGCAAGGAGATGAATTACATCAATATCCTGAGAGGGCTTGGAAACAGATCTTTCCACATTTGAGCCTCTGATGAGACCATAGCCCTGGATGATACCTGGATTTTAGCTGGTGTGATCCTGAAGTAAAGAACCCAGGTAAACTGTGATTGGACTTTTAACCTACAAAAACTATCAGCCAATAAAGGAGTTTAGTTTTAAGCTGCTAAGTGTGTGGTAGTGTGTTATGCAACACAGAAAACTAACATATTAATTTTAGGGAAAAAGCAAAAGTGGACTGAATTATGCACCACAAAGATCTCAGTGGTCTGAAATAATAGATTGATGCTTGAGGTGATAGAAATGCCTACTGGTAGTCAGAAACTCAGGGGTGGGATCTTGTATCCAACACATACTGCTGGGTGACCTTGAGGAAGTATTTGTTTAATTTTTTAGGCTTTGTGTTTTATTTGTTGTGAAGTAGGGACATTAATGATAACTGTCAGTCTGCTTGTGCTGCCATAACAAAATATCATAGGCTAGTTGACTTAAACAACAGAAATTTATTTTCTCACAGTTCTGGAGGCTAAAAGTCCACAATCAAGATTCTGGCTGATTTGGTCTCCTGTGAGGGCTTCTTCCTGGCTTGCAGATGTTCATCATTTCACTATATTCTCACATGGCCTTTCCTCTGTGCATGCAGGTGGAGGGAGAGGAATGGCTCTCTGGTCTCTTCTTATAAGGACACTCATTCCATCAGATCAGAGCCTCACCCATATGATCTCGTTTAACCTTAGCGGCTTCCTTACTCCAAGTGCATCCACACTCAGGGTTGGGGCTTCAGCCCTATGGTTTTGGGAGCACACATACGTTTCGTTTCTAACAGTATCCTTCCTTATAGAGTTTCATGTACCCCATAAATGATCTGTAATACATATATCTATAGCATATAAAGAATACCTTGCAAAATAAGGAAAATGATGACCAAATCAACAGAAGATTTGTCAGAGGGATCCCTAAAATTAGCTGAAAAGATCATTGATGTCCTTAATAATATATGTCGATGAAAACAATTACCTTTTTGCCTATCAAATTTGCAAAGATTAAAGTAATTCAAGGTTCTCAGTGATGACAAAATGTGGGAAACAAATATTCTCAAACACGTTGCTGATTTGACAATTTCTCAAAATTTAAAGTGCACATACAATGTAAGCATTTAAGAAGATATCTATTAGAATACAGTTAGTGGTACCAATATGTTAGACTCATCTAAATGTTCCATTAAGAGGACAGTAGTTAAATAAATTACTATTGATATCACTAGCAGTTTGGAAAAAAGCAGATAGATCTATTTGTATTGATTTTTAAATAAGGCCATTATATAGTATTAAGTGAAAAGAGTTGGAAGTCATTTCTTGTAGTGCATTACTATGATATCTTATTTGCAAATGTACTTACATTGTGTATAAATGTATCACTAACAACAGTAATGATACCTGGATATTGAGATTTTGGGATGATTATTTTTTGAATTTTTTTCCTTTTTTTAAATTATATTTTAAGTCCTGGGGTACATGTGCAGAATGTGCAGTTTTGTTACATAGGTATACACGTGCCATGGTGGTTTGCTGCACTCATCAACCCGTCATCTACATTAGGTATTTCTCCTAATGCTCTCCCTCCCCTAGCCTCCCACCCCTTGACAGGCCCTGGTGCATGACGTTCCCCTCCCTGTGTTGATATGTTCTCACTGTTCAACTCCCTCTTATGAGTGAGAACATGCAGTATTTGGTTTTCTGTTCCTGTGTTAGTTTGCTGAGAATGATGGTTTCCAGCTTCATCCATGTCTCTGCAAAGGACATGAACTCATCTTTTTTATGGCTGCATAGTATTCCATAGTGTTTATGTGCCACATTTTCTTTATGCAGTCTATCATTGATGGTCAAATAAAGTTTTTTTTTTTTAAAGTAGACTGACTCATTTTTCATAAGAACTTCTAAATAATTAACAAGCAAATATCCCTTTTTAAGATACAATCCTAGAGATTTTTATTTTGTTTTTAGCCAAATAAAAATTATTTACCCTTATGACTGTGCTGAAGCTTACCAATATTACTGTATTAGATTATTCTACTTCTCTGTTCTTCACTTGGATGAAATACCTCCCTCTCTCCCTCTCCCTTCCCCCCTCCCTCCATTCCTCCCTTCTTTCCTTTCTTCCTTCCTTCCTAGATGGGTTATTAATATTACTAAGTTGTCTAAGCTACATTCAAACTCCTAGGCTCAAGTGTTTCTCCTGTTGGCCTCCCAAGTAGCTGTGACTACAGGCACAAGCCACTGCACCCGGCCTATTTCTTCACTTTTAACAATTTCTGTTAAATAATTCATTTGAATTGGTTTGATGAGTTATGTTTTATGATTCTGCCTCTCTACAAAAGAGAAATACAAACTTTATGAATGGTTGCTTTGCTGAAATTAAAGGAACCAGTCACTTTTTGAAAGTGGCAAAAAAAAAAAAGAAGAAAATATTCTTTCGGTAATTTTGTACATGATTCTGTTACAGAGCTGCCATTCCCTCATGCACAGATGAGATCTGTCTGTTTGGTTATGCATATATGACCTGAATAACATCCCCACTCTCATCTCGCCCATTTTTCTTTTATCAGCGCTTCTATTACTTCATTAAGAAACAAATTATACCATGATTATATTTAATGAACATGTCTAAGTCACTGTGTATGCAGTCACTGTGAATTTTATACCCAATCCATCTTTTCTTTTTTATTCATTTTTCTCTAAAGTCTGTATGTTTTTATAGGCTATAATCATGACTTAAATTTTATTGCTACAAAATAATGTGTTTATCTAACTCAAAAGGGAAATCCTATAAAGGCCATATGTTACTGGCCCTAAGCCAGCATGATTTATGATAAGACAGTGCTGTTTAAATGGTTAGGAAAATAGTTTGGGAAAACAACTCAATCCAGTACTTTTAAACCTCAGTACCAAGAATGAAACAAACTCTTCTCTGAGTCATGCTGGTTATAGCACTCTATCATACCTTCCTTCTTCTTGGTAATGAAATGTTCTTGGTTCTGTCTGGCTCTTGGTGCCTGTTCAGGTTCTACAGTAGACTCAGGGCAAACAACCTGCAACTTCAGTTTGAGATGCACTAGCTCTGTCCAAACGTCTTGGCAAATGGAAATATACACAATATTCGAGACGATTGCCTACATAACTAAGGAACCAACACATGTTTTCCTTAAAAATATCAACACTCAGGCTGAGCGCGGTGGTTCATGCCTGTAATCCCAGTGCTTTGGGAGGTCGAGGCAGGCAGATCACGAGGTCGGGAGATCAAGACCATCCTGGCCAACATGGTGAAACTCTGTCTCTACTAAAAATACAAAAATTAGCCAGGCGTGGTGGCGCATGCCTGTAGTCCCAGCTACTCAGAGGCTGAGGCAGGAGAGTCGCTTGAACCCAGGAGGCGGAGGTTGCAGTGAGCCGAGATTGTGCCACTGCACTCTAACCTGGCTACAGAGCAAGACTCTGTCTGGAAATAAATAAATAAATAAATAAATAAATAAATAAATAAATAAATAAATAAATGATTGAAAGAAACACTCTGATGCCTGCATTAAACAAATTGACCTTTTTTTTTTTTTTGCTGTCTGAGAAAGCAACTTATGTAAGACATAGGTAAGGAAAAAAGACATTTGGAGGTGGAATTTAATCTTATGGCTACAATCAGTATTTATTTCTCCCACTTTCTTTCACATTATTAGTTACATTTTCAATTGGTAAATCATTTGAGGCTCCTTAAAAATAAGTCTTGGTGGGATTTTTAGTAAGTTACCAATGTTCTGTTCTAGTCATGAGCCTCAATAATGAGGAAGATCGTCTCTTATCTCTTCTGTTTTTTGTCTTGAATGTAATCCACATTGCTATTTACCTTTACAAAGTAGCCTGAGACACAAACCCTTCACTAAAATTGTTGAGATAAATGAAGTTACTTTGCCCTAAGTTTCCACACAATTAAAAAAATCATTACCTTTTTCCCCCTCAGCAGTAAGACTAAACTTTGAAAATCAGTCTCCTTCTAATAGCACCTAAGTCGACATAACAGTACATATTGTTGAGATTTAGAGTCTAGCTGTATAGAAATTGAAGTTGCCCTTAATTTGGATCTATTATTCTATCTCCAGTAATCTCTTATAATGATAACTCTGCTCTGAGTGTGCCAATATTTATGAAGCCCTTTCAGGGATGGGTTGTTTCACTTTGCTCACTGTTTTTCTGTAAACTAAATGACATGGTGTGGCAATAAACCACTCCATAAGAATATCAATGTGTAAAGTTGATGAACTAGTAATAATAGTAAAAACAAAGAATTATATATTAATAAGACTATGGTGGACAATTTTTGAGGTCCAAGAAATGTATTTTGTGTTTGCTAAACATAATCCCATTGATGATGCGTTTTAGTATCCTATCATCAGGATACTAAAATTCAATATTCATTTATCCATCTATTTTTAAGTTTTTTCCCAGATTTCCTGAGGCATGCTTGACAACGACAAAGTGAAGATGCTTAAAATCTACAACCTGATGTTTTGATATATGGATACATTGTGAAATAATTACCACAATCAAGCTAATCAACATATTCACCACCTTACATGGTTACCATTTGTGTGTGTGTGTGTGTGTGTGTGTGTGTGTGTGTGTGGTGAGAACATTTAAGATCTACTCTTACTCTCTTATTTTGAGTATACAATACAGTTTATTACATGTAGTCACGATGCTGTACATTAGATCTCCAGAACTTATTTCTTCTTTAAAACTGAAACTTTAGACCTCTGTTTCTACCACCCTCCATACTGTGGCAACTACCATAGTACTCTCTGCTTCTATGAGTTCAGTTTAAAAAAATTATAAAATTTAAAATTTTTAAATATTTCATAAGATTATTTAATGTCATGGAAAGATGTTCACAACATATTATTATGTGAGTAATTAAGATTAACAAAACATACATATGATAAAATAACTTTCTTTGTTTAGATCAAATCCACCATTTCAGCCATTTTAAAGTGTACAATTCAATAGCGTTTAGTACATTCACAATATTGTGCAACCTACACCACCATCTGGTTCCTATTTTTATCATCTCAAAAGGAAACCCTGCACCATTTAAGCAATTATTACTTGTCATTCCCACCTCCCCACAGTCCTGGCAACTGCCAATGCTTTCCGTCTCTGTAGATTTGCCTATTCTGGGTATTTCGTATAAATGAATCATACACTTTGAACCTTATGTGTCTGACTTCTTTCACACAGTATAATGTATTTGAGTTTCATCCATGTCATAATACATATTAGTACTTTAGGTTTTTTAGATTCCACATATGAGTGAGATCATGCAATATTTGTCTTTCTGTGCCTGGCTTACTTCGCTCAACATAATGTCCTCCAGGTTCATTCATGATGTTGCAAATGACAGAATTTTCTTCTTTATTAAGGCTGATTAATATACCATGATATGTATACATCACAATTTCTTTCTCCATTTATCCATACACGGACATTTACAGTATCCTCATGTCTTGGCTATTGTGAATAATGTTGCAGTGAACGTAGGAATAGAGATAACTCTTTGACATACCAAATTTATTTCCTTTGCATATATACCCAGGAGTGGGATTGCTGGGTCATATGACAGTTCTATTTTTAAAATTTTGACACACATCCATGCTGTCTTCTCTAATGTCTGTATCAATTGACATTCCCACCAGCAGTGTAAAAGGGCTCCTTTCCCTCCACACTTGTTATCTTTTCAGTAATAGCCATTCTAAAAGGTGTGAGATGATATCTTATTGTGGTTTTAATTTGCATTTTTCTAATGATTAGTGATGTTGAACAATTTTTCAGATGCTTGTTGATCACTTGTATGTGTTCTTTTGAGAAATATCTATTCCCAAATCCTTTGCTCATTTTTTATTCTGGCTGTTTGTTTTCTTGCTATTGAGTTGTTTGAGTTTCCTACATGTTTTGGGTATTAACTCTTCATCAGATCCCTGACTTGTAAATATTCTTATGCATACTGTAGGTTGTCTCTTACTCTGTTGATTGTTTCCTTTGCTCTGCAGAAGCTTTTAAATTTGGTAGTTTTGTCTACTTTTACTTTTGTTGCCTGTGCTTTGGGGTCATATACATAAAGTCTGTGCCAAGACCAATGTTATGAGCTTTTCATCTCTGTTTTCTCCTACTAGAGAGAATGTCAAGTCTCACATTTAAATATTTAATATATTTTGAGTTGATTTTGTATATTGTATGGGATAATGGTACAATTTCATTCTTTTGCATGTAGATATTCAGTTTTCCCACCATTCACTGAAGAGACTATCCTTTTCTCATTGTGTAGTTTTGGCACCTTTGTCCAAGATAAATTGACCACAAACGTGTAATTTAAATTTATTTCTGGACTTTCTATTCTGTTCCATCGTTCTATGTCTGTATTTATGCCAGTACCATACTATTTTGATTGCTACAATTTTGTACTATATTTTGAAGTCAGGCAGCATGATGTACCAGCAACTTTGTTCTTCTTCATAAAGATTTCTTTGGCTATTCAGGGTCTTTTATGACTACACATTAATTTTATTTTTTTTTCTATTTCTGTGAATAATGCCATTGGAATTTTGGTAGAGATTGCATCAAATCTTTAGATTGCTTTGGGTAGTATGAAAATTTTAACAATATCAATTATTTTGGTTCATAAACATGGGATAGCTTTTTGTTTATCTGTGTTTTCTTCAATTTTATTAATCAATATTTTGTAATTTTTAGTGTGTGGGTATTTTACCTCCTTGGTTAAATTTATTCATAAACATTTTATTTTTATTTCCTTTCTTCCCTCAGGTTTATTAAGGTGTAATTGAAAAAAATTGTATATATTTACAGTGTACATGATATTTTGTTATATGTACACATTGTAAAATGATTAAGTCAATCTAATTAACATACCTATCACCTCATACTATTTTAGTGTTGAGAGCATTGAAGACTTAATCTCCTAGCATTTTAAAATCATGTATTGCCTTATTATTAACTATAGTCACCATACTGGTACAATAGATCTACAGAATTTCTCTATCCTGTCTAACTGAAACTGTACTCTTTAACTAACATCTCCCCATTTTCTTTTCCTTTTCTCTCCCCAGCCCCTGGCAACTACCATTCTACTTTCTGTTTCTATTGGTCCAACTTTTTTAGATTCCACAAGTGTGAGATAATGGTCCATTTTCACTCTTTTGCATGTAGATTCCATAAGTGTGAGATAATGGTCCAATTTCACTCTTCTGCATGTAGATATTCAGGCTAACCCTAACCCTAACCCTAACCCTGACCTTAATTCTAACTCTAACCCTGACCCATGCAGTATTTCTCTTCCTGTGACTGGCTTATTTCACTTAGCATATGCCGTCCAGGTTCATACGCATTATCATAAATGACAGGATCTTTTCTTAAAAAGCTGAATAGCATTCCAGTGTGTGCGTGTGTTTGTGTGTGTATGTGTGTGTCTATGTATGTATGTATAATATTTTCTTTGTTCATTCATCTGTTGATGAGCACTTAGGCTCATTTCACATCTTGGCTATTATGAATTATGCTGCAATAAACATGGGAGTGCAGACATCTCCTTGACATACTGATTTCAGTTCCTTTGAATATATACCCAGAAATGGGATTGCTGAATCATATGGTATTTCTATTTTTAATTTTTTGAGGGAACCCCTATATTATTTTTCATAATAGATGTACTAATTTACATTTCTATCAACGGTTTACCAGGGTTCCCTTTTTCCACATCCTTGCCAACAGTTATAATCTGTTGTCTTTTTGATAATAGACATTACTTCTACCCATTTGTTGAATTAAATATTTATTGGTCATCTATTATATGTCAGGCATCATGCTCAGTGAAATAGACACATACATGTGTAGGAGAGCCATAATTGTCCACAGGAGCTCAAAGCACTGCGGGAAACCAACATGGAATCTGTAGGCTTTAATGAAGCCTGGCAAGGACAGCCATAGAGATGTGCATGGGGTATTAGTGGAGCCCTAAGAGAAAGCATGACTCAACCTGGGTTTGGTCTGAGATGCTTCCCCAGAGAATCGACAAATAATATGCATCTTCTAGGCTTAGTGAGAGAGAGTCAGCAAAATGGATAGGGAAACTTCTTATCCAAGGAAGCCAAAGGGGAACAATAGCCTTGGGCTAGGGATGAGCAGAAAGGGAAATAGGTAACCAGTCGTGTTTCCTATAACAGGTGGTGGGAGGCAGGGAAGAGGATGGCAGTGAAGTAGAGGAACGTGGGACCTTGAGCATTAAGTCAATGTTAGTATCTTATCAGTGTGTATAGGAGGGAATTTTTCCCTAATAGCATGCATTACTCTTTTTAAAAACAGCTTTTTGAGTTATAATTACTCCTGATAATTCTCTTTAGCTAAAATACCATATTTTGACACTAATACTCTAGTTACTTCCTTTTGAAAATATGCCTTTTTTCAGGAGAATATTCAGCCCGTGCAAGATATAGGCTCAGTTAATTCAAATTTTAAATTCTGTATAAGTGCGGTCCACTACACTCCCTCTGGGTCACTTGGTATCACAGTAAGACTTATGAGTAGCTTTTGCAAGCAACCTACAAAGAATTTTATTTTTCTCTCTTTCTCTGTCCCCCTCCTTGTCCTTCTCTGACACACATGCACACACACACTCCTAGGTCCCATATGATTTCTGCTTCCATGCTACACTCATTTCTGCTGTTAATGGTGCTATGATATTTGCTGTCCATGGTGCTGTGCAGTTGACCTCTCATCCCTAGCTGTGCAGACTCCTGTACTTAGCGGGGCCAGGCACACCACTTGCAGCATTCTACCTTGCACTGGCTCTTGTTTCCCTTCAGCACTTCCCACCCTCAGTCATACTTTGTGACATCAGAGAGGTTCTCCATCTTTTTTCCCTTGGCTCATCTAATGAAGATTCCACTCACATCCATTCACCCTTCTCCTCATACTCCCCTTTCAAGCTCTACTTCTTTGACAATTTCTATGCTCCATCATTCATGTGCA
The DNA here is from genome assembly GCF_000001405.40 of Homo sapiens. Lineage (NCBI taxonomy): Eukaryota > Metazoa > Chordata > Mammalia > Primates > Hominidae > Homo > Homo sapiens. The sequence continues at coordinate 76,118,821 of NC_000016.10, forward strand.
ACAAAGCCTAGAGGAGAAGTTATTGTCATCTCCTATTTCCAGAAATACCTTCAAATTCCAGTGTAATTTCCTTAAGTGTTTTTTGGTCCATCTTGAGTGAGAAGGTACTTCCCATATGGTTCTTGTTCTCTTCTCAAAGGCTGGTTTGCAAACCCTGCTCTGTCAGCTCTCTTCCTCTTCCCGTGGGTAGCTTTGGGATATGGTGGTAGCGATGGGAGGAGGGCAATTCGTGAAAGCACATTTGACTGGAGTTGATAAACTTTTTTTTTTTTTTGAGTCACATTCTCATTCAGTCACCCAGGCTGGAGTGCAGAGGCATGATCTTGGCTCATCGCAGCCTCCACCTCCCAGATTCAAGCAATTCTCCTGCTTCAGGCTCCCAAATAGCTGGGATTACAGGTGCACACCACCACACCTAGCTAATTATTGTATTTTTAGTAGAGATGGGGTTTCACCACATTGGTCAGGCTGGTCTCAAACTCCTAGCCTCAAGTGATCTGCCCACCTCAGCCTCCCAAAGTGCTGGGATTACAGAATTTGATAAACTTTTAATGTCCAAGCTGTTATTTCTTCTTTAAACTAGGGTGGCATATCTGGAATTCGGAAGTGGGATTTTCAAACTCAGAAGTTAAAGGCCTCTGCATAATAATCCATCTCATTTCTGCTTAGGGCGAGAAAGGGGCCAAAAGCTCATCAGTGAATATCCGAGTATCCAAAAGGATAAGTTTTGATGATACTTCCCACCACCATCACATCATTAATAACAAGTATATAAAAAAGTGTTAATAATATATAATTCAAAGTATTCAAAGTGACTTGGCCTTTCTCCATTCTAAAGGAGGATTTAAGGATACAATATCTTATTTAGCACAAATAAGAAAACTCCAGTAAACTTTCATAGCGGATGACATTGGTAGGCAAGAAAATGTTTGAGAAGGAGCTATTGACTGTCAACCCTCAAAGTTCTTGAGAACATAAAGCTAGTAAGGAAGTTATTATGATAGACCAAATGAGGGATAATGAACCAGAACAATGAGAGAGATATTGAGAATGGATTAGAATAAAAACCATCTTGTTAATAGAATTAAAGAATTTGTAGATGTTTTGTAGTGGTGAGAGAACACTGATTTCAACAATGATGTATGGATTTCTAACTGGACATAGCAGTGATCCTATGAACTAAGATAGGAACAAATAACACTGAAGAGGATTTTGGAGGGTTAGATGTTGAGTTTAGTTGACTCCAGTCTAGTCAACTATGGAGGCTTTAGACATAGTTTAAAATACCTTTTTAGAGTTCAGAAAAAATTTCAGATATGTACATTTTCTGATTATAGAACACTGTTGAAAAGATTTATATAAAAAGTGAAAATTGGGTAGAAGTGAGACGAAAATAGGGGAAAAGCACATCTTTAGGAAAAGAAGAGTGTTAGGGGAAGCTGCAAGAAGGAAGTCTAAAATGAGGTGAAAGAGGATTGGAAAGACAGAAGGCAGGTGATGTTCAAGGAAGGAATAGTGTGATGTTTGGCTGCTGAATGGACAAATAGAATAAGGAGGAAGAAGAGGAAAAAGTAATTTCTTAAACTTTTATTTTAGGTTCAGGGGTACAAGTGCAGGTTTGTTATATAGGTAAACTCATGTGTAGGTGTGTTATATAGGTAAGCTCATGTGCAGGTTTGTTACATAGGTAAACTCATGTGCGGGTTTGTTATATAGGTAAGCTCATGTGCAGGTTTGTTATATAGGTAAACTCATGTGCAGGTTTGTTATATAGGTAAACTCATGTGCAGGTTTGTTACATAGGTAAACTCATGTGCAGGTTTGTTATACAGATAAATTCATGTGCAGATTTGTTATATAGGTAAACTCATGTGCAGGTTTGTTATATAGGTAAACTCATGTGCACGTTTGTTATATAGGTAAACTCATGTGCAGACTTGTTATATAGGTAAACTCGTGCAGGTTTGTTACATAGGCAAACTCATGTGCAGGTTTGTTATATAGGTAAACTCATGTCACAGGGGTTTGTTGTACACATTATTTTATCATCCAGGTATTAAGTCTAGTACCCATTGGTTATTTTTTCTGATCCTCTCTCTCCTGCCACCCTCCACCCTCTGGTAGGCCCCTGGGTCTGTTGTTCCCCTCTATGTGTCCATGTGTTTTCATCATTTAGTTCGCACTTACAAATGAGGACATGCAGTGTTTGGTTTTCTGTTCCTGTGTTAGTTTGCTAAGGATAATAACCTCCAGCTCCTTCCATAGTTCTTCAAAGGACATGATCTTGTTATTTTGTATAGCTGCATAGTATTCCATGGTGTATAAGTACCACACTTTCTTTATCTGGTATACCCTTGATGTGCATTTAGGTTGATTCTATGTCTTTGCTATTATTAATAGTGCTGCAATGAACAGATGCATGCCTGTGTCCTTATGATAGAACGATTTATATTCCTTTGGTTATATTCCCAGTAATAGAATTTCTGGATTAAATGGTACTTCTGTTTTTTGCTCTTTGAGGAATCACCACACTGCTTTCCACAATCATTGAACTAATTTACACTGCCACCAACAGTGTATAAGCATTCCTTGGAAAAAGTGATTTATATTGGGAGGTGTTATTTTACCCAAAAGAAGTTATAGTAGAGTGATGAGAATCATACATAAATAAAAATTCGGCTTGTGGTAATGTAGAGGAATGAATGATGGTGTAGTAGTTAGAAGCAGTATATAATATTTAAGGCATCTGATGGTGGATTGAAATACTGAGATAGCTTGAGGAAAGATTGTGATGTGTGCGTAATTTAAAGGGCTGTTTCAGTTTTGTTTTGTTTGGATCAGAAATCAAGTCAACGTTCAAAAATATTATTATCTTGTACTTATATAATATAAACGTAGTCATATCCCATGTTCTTCAGATATTTAAAGTTCTTCACATACCTTTGGTAAACTTCAGGAGCACAGCTTGTGTATTGAAGGGGAATGATTCATGACTGCTGGGTGCTCAGTGAAGCGGCTTCCTCCAAGAGGCAAAGCGTCTCCTTCTGGCAGAGCTTACAGACTTTGTTAAAAATAGACTTCTTCTGTTCCTTGGAAAATGCTCATAGAGAGATGTTTATAAGAGAATTTTGAAAATGTTCTATTGAAGATGTATTTAGTTAAGAACATGTCAAACTCTCAAAAATTCAATGTAAATATCCATTTTTTTCCACTCATGTGAGGGACAAGAAATGGGTGAAATGGAAATAGAATGTATTACTCTGGCTCATTTTTTTTTCTTTTACCATATTAACTTTCATTCCCAGTCCTTTCTGGTAAAAGCATGATTTTTAAAATTACCTTTCCAATACAAAAAATCACTTTGTAAATAAGATCAGAACATTCAGTCCACAGGGGAAAGCATGAAGAAAATGAAGCAATTGTATCTTCTTATTCGTCTTGGTATTGAAGATCCCAGTGATTTAATAACCCTCAAAGTACATTTAGGTTTATTTCATATCAAAGCCAAATAATATTGTTTGCCAATCGTTACTTTAAAAAGGAATCTTGTATTCAGTTAGAAATGAAGTAATTTCTTTCTTTGAATGAGTAGAATTAAGTTGGAGGTGATTTTGATGTTATTGAGGGGGCCTTAATCACACTGTCTATTTAAGCTGTTTATACAGATCATTTCATGAGAATGCCTAAGGGATGTCTTTCCAACCTTCATTACTACATATTTGGGAGAATATTAGATCTTAATAGCAAGGCATGTAGATCCATTTTTACTAGCATTTTTTAAAACCTGGGATTTAATTTCAGGATTTAATCTAATTTTTTTCTTGAATTGTTCATTTCTTTGCACAGTGATGAAGTGTGAGCCATGTCTTTTAAGGAAACTTCCTAATTCTTCAGTACTGTGTGGCTACGTAAACCTACATTCAGATAAAAATTAAAAAGGAGTTGCAGTTAACAGAGGATTTCTCTCACCACACCATTTTTATTGAAGATAAAATTTAAGCCAGAATATAGAAGAAAACATAGTCCAGATGCAAAGATATTTAGAAAAGATAATAAGTAAAGATAATAATAATCACTGGGACTTACAGAGCTCATACCATCTGTCAGGCATTGCTCCAATGCTGTGCATTTATTTTATTATTTTTTTCTCTCAGGAATTGTATAAGATAAACACTATTGTTATCCCCAAAGGCACAGAGAAGTTATGTAACTTAAATAAAGTCACATAACTGGTGAGAATTGAGTTCAGAATCAACACTCAAGCAGTCTGAGTTCAGAGCTATAGCTGATTCTCAAAAATACCCCTCAAATAATGTATTTCACTGGTCAACAACTGTTAGCACCAATAATTTATTTTTAAATGTAATGAAAAATTTTGGAAATCCACACAAATGAAGAAATAGCTAATAACTTACTAGCTGTAATATTTTATATAAATCCATCTCACAAATTTATTTTAGTAGAGTCAGTTCATAATGTAAACTTTAAGATATGTTTTCCTTGTGTTTTCTTGACTATTCTAAGTATTCTTTCTTTATCCTAATTCAAATCATTAATAAAAATGCTGAATAGGACTGGGCTAGACGGAGTCCCCTATCATAAATTATAAATGTCACTCACGGTGGAAATCAATCCACCAGTTTGGATGAATGATAGAAAAACTAAAATTGAAAGTCATTAAAGAGTATGAAGTCCACATTTCACCATTTTACCAGTTTAAACTGAAAGGTTTTGTCAAATGTCTTGGTGAAATTCAAATACCCATATGTTTCAGGAGTGAACTTTTCAAAGGACCAGTGCAACACTTCTGCTAACCGCTATAATTTCTGATATCCCATTTCTGCAACTAGAGGATGTTTAAAAGTGTAAAAAATTAATGCACCACAGAAGCAAAGATTTTTTGGAAGGTTATTCTTTTCCTTTGAGGGCAGGAAAAGAGGGGTGACCCTACTCCTGACTTTCTGCAAGAACTACAATAAACCAAGGGAAATGGTTTCTTTTCACTACGCAGAAAGACTGTCAGTCAGGGGGCAAAGTTCAGATGACCAGGCTTTTAAGAAGTGCACAAACTGTAATTTGGATGCTATCAGAAAACAAAATAGTAAATTTTGTGTTGGAGAGAGCTCAGCACAGAAAACCAGTGAAGGCATCCAGTGTCCCCTATATACATTATTCATAGTAGATTTCAGGAGCTGAGCAAAGAGGCAAGAGAAATAAAGTCCATGGAAGAGTATGCAGGAAAATGTGGGCAAGGGAAGTTGCAGAAGAGAGAGAGTTCCAAATGAATACGAGCTAAAGTACCAGGGTGAGCTCTTGCGTAATGGCGTATGGAGTCAGCCAAGATGGCAACAGAGTATAAGAATGCTGACCCAGGTGAATTGAGCTAAGAGATTCTTCCAGCTCCTAAAATGAATTTCCACCATCATCATATGCCTGTGAATTGTTGCCTACTTTTCATTTAATTACTCAGTGCATTTGTTTAGAAGTTTACCTGGAGAGTCATTAAATAATTCTTTTAAAAAATGATCTTTGTTTAGAATTCTGGTTGAATTTTCCAATTGAATTATTTGGTAGAAACAAACAAACAAACAAACAAAACCTGAATGGTGGAAAACTCTAAGTACAGTGTTTCTAGTTCCTAGACCGATGTCCAAGCCCAGATGATAGTCAAGAACTGAATCTCTCTGGCCTCAGACTTATGGTGGGAGGAGATAACAGCAGAGCATATAATCTGTGCTCATAAAAGGAATAACTAGTGAGATATAGGAGATTATTTTATTTTCTGTTATTAAGATTTCTCATACATGTATTTTTCCTGTTTTTTAATCACCTTGGTGTCTCAAGCCAAAAAGACTAGAAGTAACAAGATTTTGCACACATCTGTGCACACATATGCAAGATTATTTTGGATATTTATTATATATATAATTCAAGAGACAAGATTGAAAATATTTAACTGACTGATGGAAAATAGTAAAAATATTTTGAAAAATTTTCCAAATGCTTTTCAGAATATTATTCTTTGAATGACATACTATACAAATTTCCTTTTCATTACCAGCATAAAGCTCTAATGTCCATTAGAGGAAGAGAGAACAGTCTCTTAGTGACAATATGTTAAAGTGACTGTTACTTGACAATGGTACTTCATATTTAATAATGTCCTCATTTTCTGAGATACATTTTATTAAGATGTCATCGAGTTTTCTGTAAGTCAAATTAATTCATTTTACTAATGTGATATAATGTGAGCAAATAAATTAGCATACTGTATAAGATTTATTTTACATTAATACTAGTTCAAAATTATACATTTTGGCTACATGAAATTTCTTACAAATACTTGGTTTGTTGCAAGTCATAACACAAAAGTTATTTGCAATGTTTAATTGCCCGTTTTTTCTTATGCTAATCTTACATTTGCTTTTAATAGGTACAGCCAAGTTAAATAGCAGAGACAAATATTTAGCACCAAAAGACTCTTTCTGTAAAAGACACTATGGTCTGTTTATGATTCTTCATTTTACAGTTCTGTGTGAGATTTATTATTTATATTTCACAAATGAAAGAAGAAAAATCCAAATAGATAGCTCATTTTATCTGTTCCAGGACCCAATGTGCTAGTATTCTTGAGGCAGGAAACTTGTGCTACAAATTTTGCAGATTACAGTCAGCTTAAAAATGAGCACTGGGGAGGTGGGGCATGGTGGCTCACGCCTGTAATCCCAGCACTTTGGGAGACCGAGGCGGGCAGATCACCTGAGGTCAGGAGTTCGAGACCAGCCTGGGCAACCTGACGAAAGCCCGTCTCTGTTAAAAATACAGAAAAATTAGCCGGGTGTGGTGGCATGCGCCTGTAGTCCTGGCTACTTGGGAGGCTGAGGCACGAGATTCGCTTGAACTCAGGAGGCAGAGGTTGCAGTGAGCCAAGATCGTGCCACTGCACTCCAGCTCCAGCCTGGGTGACAGAAAGAGACTCCGAAAAAAAAAAAAAAAAAAAAGCAATGGGGAAGCCTTTAAGGGGAAAAGAATCGGAGAATCTGCACATGCATAACATCCTTCCTGCAGGGTCTTGGGTATCAAGCAGAGGAGAGGGGACCATTGGGTTGATTGTAGGGGGAGTGGGGATTTTCAAATTCTTTTCATATATCTGTGCCTCAGAGGATATTGCTGTTGTTGCATTGTTTGCTTGAAACACTAATTGGAGGAGTCATCTTCCATTGCTCAACTCTGTACCAACTTGAGTCACTATTTAGTGTCTTGGAGGGTGCAAGTACTTTGGAATTAATCCACCTGGATTTAATGAGCCAGGTGTGTGACCTTAGATAAACAGGTAAACCTGTTCTTCCCCTAGTGAGAGTGACTATAACATTCACTTCTAATTTATTGTCATTAGATAATTATACAGAGTACTTAGCACATATTAGAAACTTAGCAAATTTCAGTTCTATTCAAAGCTGGACATCCACAGTGATTACGACAATTTTTTTCTACCCTACTAATTGTGTTGTGTCTTTTTTTTTTTTTCTTAAATTAGTGTGCTTTCTAAGTTTGGTACAGTAGAGGGAAACAAGGCTGAACTATTGTCAAAGAATTTTATGTGTTTTCCTTATTTTATGCAATCATTCGGCATAGAGAGTCAAAGATGACTAACTTCATAGTAAGATGCTAATTGAGATATGTTCTTTCTTTCTTTCTTTTTTTCATTTTTATTTTTATCTTTGAGATGGAGTCTCGCTCTGTCACCCAGACTGGAGTGCAGTGGCATGATCTTGGCTCACTGCAAGCTCCGCCTCCCGGTTTCACACCATTCTCCTGCCTCAGCCTCCTGAGTAGCTCGGGACTACAGGTGCCCACCACCACGCCCAGCTAATTTTTTTTATTTTTGGTAGAGATGGGGTTTCACCGTGTCAGCCAGGATGGTCTCAATCTCCTGACCTCGTGATCCACCTGCCTTGGCCTCCCAAATTGCTGAGATTACAGGCTTGAGCCACCGCGCCTGGCCAAGATATGTTCTTGACCTAGTCAGATTATTGTCATGTCAAAGATTTTAATTAATACACATAATATTCTATCATGTATTATAGAGAAAATATTATTTTCTATTATGAAAAAATAAAGTCAGCACATGCAAGACTACAAATTTGGATAAAAACAGCTGCCATCATTATTTTTCTATTTGTTGTTACGTGGGTAGCTGGGGCATGGAGTTTAATAATGCTATTCACAACATCAAGAGTAAACTTTTGAATTTGAATTGCAGTTTTGAACATATTTTAATAAATAAAAATTTCAAAACAGGTTGGAGTCAATATCTCAGAATCTGTCATGATAGTAATCATCACGCACTATCCATCAATTTCTCCTTAGGAATAGTAATAATTGTCTTTTTTTTTTCTTTTGGATACGGAGTCTCACTCTGTTGCCCAGGCTGGGGTGCAGTGGCGTGATCTCAGCTCACTGCAACCTCCTCCTCCCCAGTTCAAGCTATTCTCCTGCCTCAGCCTCCTGAGTAGCTGGGATTACAGGCGCGTGCCACCACCCCTGGCTAATTTTTGTATTTTTAGTAGAGACGGGGTTTCACCATGTCAGTCAGGCTGATCTTGAACTCCTGACCTCGTGATCCTCCCACCTCAGGCTCCCAAAGTGCTGGGATTACAGGCGTGAGCCACCAAGCCCGGCCAAGAACAGTAGTAATTGAATATAAAAACTCTACATTGGTACATTTCGGTAACGAACTCTCTGAGTTTTTGATGTGGACAATCCATATTCTCAGTGCTGGCTACAAGTTGCATTTTGCCACAATTGCTGACTCTAAAGTTCTTCTGATGTGATAGTTGAAATTCTGCAGGTCAGGTGGGTGGACAAATCACTGTGAGCAAGTCATGAACAGATGAATCTCTGGAACTATTTTGGGTTTTATCTTTGGAAAATTTTGGTCCCATACAACTTTGAAACTTATTTTTAAAACTTCTAGATTTATGAAAATAGTTAGGAGAGAAAGAAAATTGCAATTTTGTATCTTCCTTCTACTATTTTTGTAGTTTGTGCCTAAAATTAGCTGTTAGATGACATAAAGGATTACATTAGTTTTATCCATTTATTAATACATTGCATTCATATTTTAACCTATTCTCAGGTCCCACACTATTTACTAGAATGCTATTAAAGAACAGAGTGTATGAATCTCTCCTTGATAGTAATTTATGGTCTATAGATAACATGAAAAATGTAACAAGTTGACAAAATAAAATAGTGTAAGAATACATGCGAAATGGAATGAGACTATAGATTAATGGAACTAAATTTTCTTTTTAAAAATTTTTTCCCCATCCAACTTTTATTTTAGGTTCAAGAAGTACATGTGCAGGTTTGTTACATGAGTAAATTGTGTGTCACAGGGGTTTGGTGTACAGATAATTTTGTCACCCAGGTAATCAACATAATACCCGATAGGTTGTTTTTCAGTCCTCTCTCTCCTCCCGCCCTCTGCTCTCAAGTAGGTCCTGGTGTCTGTTGTTCCCTTCTTTGTGTCCATTTTTACTCAGTGTTTAGCTCCCACTTATTAGTGAGAACATGTAGTATTTGGTTTTCTGTTCCTGTATTAATTTGGTTAGGATAGTGGCCTCCAGCTCCATCCATGTTGCTGCAAAGGACACAATTTCATTCTTTTTTAAGGCTGCATAGTATTCCATGGTATATATGTACCACATTTTCTTTATGCAGTCAAAAACCACTTATGGGCATCTAGGTTGACTCCGTGTGTTTACTATTGTGAATAGTGCTGCAATGAACATATGTGTGCATGTCTTTCTATATATGCATTAAATATACTGTTAATCAGCTTAACAGTGAGAAGAAGCATTGGTTAGGGTATCTGGAAATGATGGACCTTTCGTTTCACTTTGGAGGGGTGCTGTTGCTACAGAAGATACTTTTATGGACATGGAGGTTAGTGCTATGACTCCCCACAGGAAGATGTCTTACTGAGGAGAATTGGGTCTCAACAGGACTGCTACATTGCACAAAACCAGAAGCTCAACTGAACCCTTAAAATGGCATGGCATGGAAGAACACCTGAATTCAGAAATATGACCAAAAGTGGTGTGAAATAAAATCAATAAAATCCATCAAGACATCACAAAGCATGTATTCTGGGCTATGAAGCCGGACATTTCCCCTCAGTTGTAGAGAAATTAAACCGAGCCACTTACAATAAGAGCAAAGCTAGCAATTCACACATATGCTGTGAAATAATGGCTGGGAGTTCCTTTTTGGCATTCAACTGCCTTCTAATGCATTCTAGATATAATAGACTGAAGAAGAAAGAGGGAAACATATTTTTGAGCACTTTTGAAGAGTAAGTTTTGTGCAAGACCCCTTATATTGATCTTCATGGCTGCTGTATGAATCCTCGCTGTTCATATTTACAGTTAAGGTAAGTGAGGCTCAGAGACACTGAGTTATTGTGACACATCAGAGTCAGAGGCAGAATTCACAGCCAGGACTCTTCAATTTACTGTCCTGCGCTCATCTCCAAATACCGTGTTTCTCAAGAAGCAAACACTCCCCTACATCTCAGCAGAAAGCAGCCAAGCTATGATATAACTAAAAATGATTTGTGAACTTAACTACATTAGGATATGAAATACACTTTTTTAAGTAACAAATAATTCCTGGTAAACCTCCAACATTCCTGACCTTGTTCTCCTAATCCTGTTTCTCAGATGGTCCCCGTCTTGATTCAACTCTGACATGCTGGTATGCCTTGTGACTCTGTCCTAGATCTTTCAGATCATTTTCTACACACTCTTCCTTAGCACTCTCATCCCTTCCACGGATACACTTATATTAGGTTAGTGTAAAAGTAACGGCAAAAACGCAATTATATTAGGTTGGTACAAAACTAAGAGACTTACTATTAGGTTGGTATAAACCCAATTACTTTTGCGCCAACCTAACAGTAACTCTCCCAACCAAAGTCTGCCTAACCAATGTGCTGACTTCACTGATATTCACTATTCCTTGGTAAAATATATTCATTGATTCCCATAGCATGTTGAGCCACTGTGCCTGGTTGCCTGCATTTTTCACTTTTCCTTCTTCCAGTAGAGCTGTGTGCTTATCTTTGTCAGTGGTTTTTGTTCCCAAACCTGTTTAGGCCAGTTGGACATGTTATTATATTGTGTATTTTCATTCTGTATTTTGCTGATTGAAAGTAAATTCACCTGTAATACCAGAACTTTAGGAGGCCAAGGTGGGCAAGGCCAGGAGTTCGAGACCAGCCTGGCCAACATGGTGAGACCCTGTCTCTGCTAAAAATGCAAAAATTAGCCGGGCTTGGTAGCAGGCACATGTAGCCCCAGCTACTCGGGAGGCTGAGGCAGGAGAATCGCTTGAACCTGGGCTGCAGAGGTTGCAGTGAGCTGAGATCGTGCTGCTGTACTCCAGGCTGGGAGACAGAAAACAAGACTCCATCTCAAAAATAAATAAATAAATAAGTTAAAAAAGAAAAGAAATTCATGCAAAGATAGTTGTTTCTATAAAAACCAAGTGGAATGGATTCGAAAAATTTGATAGGGAAGGTCATTTAAAAATTTTGCTGTTGATTTTTTTCTCCTTTTTAGAGACGGGTCTTTGTTACACAGGCTGGAGTGCAGTGGTGTAATCAGAGCTTACTGCAACCTTCAACTCCTGGGCTCAAGTGATCCTCCCATCTCTGCTTCCCCAGTAGCTGGGACTACAGGTGCTGGGACTACTACCACCACACCCAGCTAATTGTATAAATTTTGTACAGACAGAGTCTCACTATGTTGCTCAAGCTGGTCTTGCTGTTGATTTAAAGATGTAAAAAAGTAAGGAAGAAAAATAATCTACAATTCTTCATGAATATATTTTTCACAAGTGTTTTTATGTTCTCACTTTACTTAAAAAAAAAAAAAAGCCAGAAACAATGGAATAATGTATTGGGAATAAACTCTACACAAGAAAGATAATAGAAAACAAAAGGCAGTAAACCTATTTTGAAAGACTGAAAAATCTTTTGCTTTTTTTAAGTTAGGATAAAATATTTAAAGTATATGACTATTTCATGTTTTTACCTTCAGCTAACTTTTTTAGTTAAAAAAATAAAACAGGAAAACTGGGGAAAGTTAACAAGCAAAATATTTACAAAGGGTGAGGAGGGCTTAGAGAAACCAACAAAGAGTAATGCAGTGCCACAGATCTACCGACAGTGAGGGAGCCTCTGCCTCCCTTACACTCAAGGAAACCCAGGGAGTGAAGCCATATGGAAAGGAGACATGGCCTTTTGTGATGGACAGTTGAAGCGACCCAACAAGAAAGAAGCCAAAAATTAAGCCACCAACCTCCTCTTCTCCTGCCTCTGAATCCTGCTAATGCTCACTGCTGCAGAGATTAACAGGAGATATGTAGCATAATCCATCACTTTTGTCGTTTATATCCACTCCTGATTTTTATATGGGTGGGAAATTTATGCACTCAATGTGATGAATTCCCAAGACTGATTAGATAATGTAACATTTTTAGGGAAATATCAATTAGAACATATTCCCATCTGTAAATCTAAAATGTTAGCAACACCATTGTGTGCTCTCTGCTCCTTAGAGCATTTGATAAAGGGACTGTTCACAGAAATGTCGACAGGACTTCATGGCACCAAGAAAGGATATAGGGCTTTACTCTTTCTTGCCTCCCTAGGCTTTACTCTTCCTTTTTTTTTTTTTTTTTTTTTTTTTGAGACAGAGTCTCACTCTGTCTCACTCTTTCTCCCAGGCTGTAGTGCAGCGGCGCTATCTTGGCTCACTGCAACCTCCACCTCCCAGATTTAAGTGATTCTCCTGCCTCAGCCTCCCGAGTAGCTGGGACTACAGGCGTATGCCACCACGCCTAGTTAATTTTTGTATTTTTAGTAGAGATGGGGTTTCACTATATTGGCCAGGCTGGTCTCAAACTCCTGACCTCAGGTGATCCACCTGTCTTCACCTCCTAAAGTGCTGGGATTACAGGTGTGAGCCACCTTGCCCTACCGGCTTTACTCTTCTGAAAGAGCATGGAGGGGTGGGGCAGCTGCTTCCAAGAGAGAGTTGCTATATGGAAAGAGCTACTTCCTTTCTTTGCTCCCAGTTTTTCACGTGACAGAAGCCCATCTCTTTTAATCAAAAGAGGAGTGGAGGAGGAGGACAAACCTTTTCCTTTTGTCTTTATCCATAGAAATAGATTGGTATTCTTTTGTGTGCATGCGTGTGTGTGTGTGTGTGTGTGTGTGTGTGTGTGTGACTGTAGGTGTATATATGTATATATACAGTCAGGTGCTGCATAATGACATTTGGGCCAATGATGGACCGCATATATAATGGTGGTTCCATAAGATTATAATGGAGCTGAAAAAATCCTATCGCCTAGTGACATCATAGCTGTTGTAATGTTGTAGCACACTTTATTTTTAATAAATTTATTGTAGCCTAAATGTACAGCATTGATGAAGTCTACAGTAGTGTACAGTAATGTCCTAGGCATTCACCTTTACTCAGAGAAACTTCCCATCAGGCCAGCTCAATTCATGGCAACAATTCTATAGAGATGTACCATTTTAAAAATCCATATTTTTACCGTGTTTTGATATGTTTAGATACACAGATACTTACCATTGTGTTACAATTGCCAGCAGTATTCAGTACAGTAGCATGCTGTACAGATTTGCAGCCTGGGAACAATGGTTTATATCATATAGCCTAGGGGTGTAGTAGGTGATACTGTGCTTGTGTAAGTATACCCTGTGATGTTGGCACAACAGAATTGCCTAACGATGCATTTCTCAGAACATATCCCTGATGTTAAGTGACACCTGACTGCATTTTCAAAAACTAACACTTTCAGCATTTTTCAGCACTCCCTATAAACACTGAAATAAAAATAAAAATGTATGCATTAGTCAAGAAACACTGACACATTGAGAAGTGGCTAAATTAATGAAATTATCATTTGCATATAGAAAATAATACAAGTTGATTATTGGTACATGCTAAGAAATCTGTAAGAAGATATTTCAAAGCATACCTGGAATATTATGAAAAATTTTATATTTTTTCATAGATAATTACAATCAATTTATGATTCTCTATTTCTGTATAAAGCCTTGTCTTTGAATTGTGTTCTACATGTACACACAGAAAAAAATACCCGTTGTGTATTTCAACCATTTATAATTGTTCATCAATAATATTAAGTAGAATGGCATGAATTATTTGCCATTGGCATTAGCCTGTAGTTTTGTAACTATGAAGATTATTTTTAATTAAATCATACTATCAGATGTTTTAATGAGAATCACTCCTGTGAAGCTCTTTGCCAGAAACACACACACCTAAACACACACTTTTTAACTGTATGGATTATTCAATTTAAGTTGACATGAAAATGTACTTTGTAAATTTGCTAATGAAAGACAATCTTTGAGATAAGCAAAACAAGGCATTGACTACAATTTGACCAAACCAGCCTTTTTCAAAACTGTGAGATCAATCAGTTCCTTGCAAATCATCAGTAAATCTGATGTATAGCATTACATTTTTATTTTTATAGATTTTAATTTCTTGGTTTAATTACTCTGCATTCCTCTGGTTAGAAAAACAACCTGATGAGTTATTTTTATTTATAGCATTTCCACTCAATGTGCTTATGATTATATTTCAGTGCACTGGAAATTTGCAATCATCTATTTCAGTGACTTTAAAGTTTTTTTTTTTGAAATTAAGCTTTTGATAAAGGTTAAAGAACTGTTTTTAAAGATAAAATACTATTTGCTAAGATGACCAGTAAGGAAATTTGCAAATATGTATATTACAAAATCATTACAAAGAGATGACATTATAATTTGTATTTGGCAAAATCATCCAGTTTTAGAATCATTAGACCTTTATTGAGTATTTCTATAGAAAGACCTGTGTGCCACAGTTTTTCACAAGACATCTTCAATTAGTGCTCAGAAATGTATAAATTTGATGTTAATAATACAAAAAAAGTCTACTCTTATTTAGTAGGCATCTTGTGAGCAATGTAACCACTGGGCTATATCAATGTACATTTCAGATTCTTTAGCTTGGCTTAAAAGACCTCTCATGGCCTCCTCCTCCAGTCCTGCTCTGATCACTAGTCTTTGACAGCTGTCCTGATCTTATCTGAATTTCTCTAAATGCCTTGCTCTCTTTGGTTTCTGGTCTTCTTCCATGGTTGTTCTTCTCTCTATCTTGACCTCCATTCCTGCCCCTACATTGTCACCTTTTCATTGAACCAAGTCCAAATAATCTTTCAGGCACCAGCCTAAATGTCATCTTATGCATTTAATGATGCCCAACAACTGTTTATTAAATGCATTATCTAGTCCCACTTGACTAGTGTAGGCTATCTTGCTACATATATGTTCTTCTTTTTTTTTTTTTTTTTTTTTTTTTGAGACAGAGTCTCGCTCTGTCGCCCAGGCTGAAGTTCAATGGTGCAATCTCTGCTCACTGCAAGCTCCGCCCCCTGGGTTCACGCCATTCTCCTGCCTCAGCTTCCCAAGTAGCTGGGACTACAGGCACCCACCCCCAGGCCCAGATAATTTTTTGTATTTTTTAGTAGAGACGGGGTTTCACTGTGTTACCCAGGATGGTCTCAATATCCTGACCTCGTGATCCACCTGCCTCAGCCTCCCAAAGTGCTGGGATTACAGGCATGAGCCACTGCGCCCGGCCTACATATATGTTCTTATTGCCCCTTCAAATGCTATGACAGCACTCATCAACTATTACTGTAATTTCTTTTTAAATTTTTTAAAATTGACTTTTATTCCGATTTGTTTTTTACTTTTTTACTTTAAGTTCTGGGACACATGCGCAGAATGTGCAGGGTTGTTACATATGTATGCATGTGCTATGGTGGTTTACTGCACCTATCATCCCGTCACCTAGGTTTTAAGGCCTGCATGCATTAGCTAGTTGTCCTGATGCTCTCCCTCCCCTCCCCACCACCGCCCGACAGGCCCCAGTGTGTGTTGTTCCCCTCCCTGTGTCCATGTGTTCTTATTGTTCAGTTTCCACTTATGATAACATGTGGTGTTTGGTTTTCTGTTCCTGTGTTAATCTACTGAGGATGATGGCTTCCAGCTTCATCCTTGTCCCTGCAAAGGACATGATCTCATTTCTTCTTGTGGCTGCATAGTACCACATATGATATACACATAGTGTATATCATACACATAGAGTGGTGTGTGTGTACCACATTTTCTTTATCCAGTCTGTCATCGATGGGCATTTCGGTTGGTTCCATGTCTTTGCTATTGTGAATAGTGTTGCAATAAACATACGTGTGCATGTATCTTTATAACAGAATGACTTATATTCCTTTGGGTATATACCCAGTAATGGGATTGCTGGGCCAAATGGTGTTTCTGGTTCTAGATCCTTGAGGAATTGTCACAATGTCTTCCATAATAGTTGAACTAATTTACATTCCCACCAACAATGTAAAAGCATTCCTATTTCTCTACAGCCTCACCAGCATCTGTTGTTTCTTGGCTTTTTAATAATTATTACTGTAATTTCTAATGTAATGCACCTGTCTCCTTTGCAGGATATTTAGCTCAGAGGAGGCAAAGCAATGACTATCATGTATCTCCTTTAAATTCTGCCACCTGTCACCAAGACTTCCCTGTAATAGATGCTCATAAACATTTGGGTAAATGAATAATTTAACAAATCAGACTCGTTATGGATCACAAAATATTTTAATGCATCATATAGAAGAGGTAAAGAATGTAAGTGGGGCAGAGCCCTCAGCATGTTACAAATAGCACAGCATGTTGGGACATTAGATCCAGTGGACCACTTCAGAGGATGGAGATGGTCAGAGGTTGTGAAGAAGCTGTGTTCTGTGTAATGTGAAACTGGTGTGGCCACTGGACTCTTCAGCAGGACAGACCTTAGCATTTTACCTTTCTAGAGCATGCGTATGCCGCATTGCTTCAAAGCTGATGTATCAAGTAGTTTCCATGTTGAAAGAACTCCTAACAAAGCATTAGCAGTCTGTATACCCAGTTCACAGTGCAGCAACTCAGGGGCTGGTGAAGATACTCAGCTTGGTTCACACGGTTGATCTTTCTGCCTGGAAGTCACGCCCGACAGTGTTCAGAGTTCATATTTTTTATACTAATGAAATCAAGAATTGTAAAGAGCCCTAAGGTCAAAAGTGACCCATGCAATGATGGGAATGTAGCAGTGAAATATATATATATGAATGAAGTAATCGTCAACTTGGTAACTATAATTTCCCACTTGGTTTAAATGAGATTTTCCTTGCTCACAATCAGCATGTGAACCAGTGCCCCTGCAGGGGCACTGCCAGGCTCAGAGCTGTGCTGTCTGACTGGTTTTTGCATTCTTAAATATTCCTTTTCATTCCTGCTGTCCCCGTACTCCTCATGGCAGACACTTTCATCTTTAAATCCAGTTGTTTTTGTCAGTATTATTAGAAGACAAATCATATCCTGTAGATTGTCAAATGCATTTATTTATAACAGGCTCTGTAAAAGGTCTCTGAAGTCTGGGGTTGGAAGAGCAACAGCTAACAAGTTGACGGCAGAATAGTTAATCAAATTAAATTGGGGTTTCTAAGCCTTAATATAGGACCCCATCAGGTAATGATGAGCAAGGCTTCATCTTCTGCAGAGGTTGTAGACAGCAAGCCTGTCACATGACTGCTTTGCTCGCAAGGAGCTCAGGCCAAGAACTTCGCCTGTCATTTTCATTTCCTTATGAAAACCAACTACTGATGCTTTGAAGAATGGAATACCAATTAGACCATTTGGGGAATGAAGGTAATTTAGTGGGTTAAGAAACAAAAATACTATCATCAATTCTGTTGCTTACAGCAAATTAGCAGGTGGTCCAGAGAATGAGAGATGCGATATACATTCAGGAGCCCAGTTTCCCAAGATGGAACAAGAAAACATGTTCATCATTGAAAGCAGGCATGGCTTTTGGACATGTTAGCACTAATTTTTTTAAGTGTGGAAACAACTCTTAACTTTCCTCTGAATCAGAGCTGAAGCAGGGTATTAATTTTCCTCCCTGGTTGAGGTTACCTTTAACTCCCAATTCAAAACTGTATTACATTGACTAGAAAGTACATACATCAAACCAAACAATTATGTGTATACATTTTTTTCTGACAGGAATAAAGCCATTTTATACTTTATGAATGACAATTCAAAGAGGTTCACAGATGATTTGATCACTTTATCCAACTTACATAAATGCAATATAAAGAGGGATTTATGTTGCCTAATTGGACAGGGTACATTTTTTAGTTTTCTTAAAGTGTTCTGCAAACTGTTGTTTTCTTACTCTCCACCCCAGTTTTCTCAACACAGGGTCTCTACTGGATTTATTGTCTCTGAGTGGGAAACTGATGGAAAGACCAAATAAAGAACTCAGTGTAAAACGTGGGAATCAGTGAACAGAAACAGGCTTCAAAGTGACTTGCCTTATCAGAAGCCAAAAATGATTAAATCTATAAGAGTTAAAATCATGTGATGTTGGCATAAATAGATCAATGAAACAATTTACATAGTCATTAAAGAGACTCTAATGTGATACATAGAATTAAAATGAAAAGGAATGGATTATTTAAAAAATTATTGGGATAATTAAGCTGAATGCAGTGGCTCATTCTTTAGTCCCTGCCATTCCAGGGGGCTGAGGCAGGCAGATTGCTTGAGATCCCTTTAGGGCTTCAGTGCACCATGATTGCGCTTGTGAGTAGCCACTGTATTTCAACCTGGGCAACATAGGCAGTGTCTCTTAAAAAAAAAAAATTAATCATGTAAGCTAGTTAGACCTTATAGGGGATCTTAACCTTGCTTGATTTATAAACATAATCAAAACTTAATTTGAGCTATTTATTACACATGCATATTTTCCTAATCCCTTTGTGCTGCTCTAACAGAATACCTGAGACTGGGTAACTTATAGAGAACTATCGGGGGAACCCGCCCCCAATATTTCAGCATAGGTTCTTTCTATTTTCCATAAGTGTTGGCCGGCTGAGAAATAAAGAGAAAGAGTACAAAGAGAGGAATTTTACAGCTGGGCCTCTGGGGGTGACATCACATATCGGTAGGACCATGATGCCAACCTGAGCCACAAAACCAGCAAGTTTTTATTGAGGATTTTAAAGTTGGGGGGTGTACGAACAGGGTGTAGGTCACAAAGATCGCACGCTTCAAAGGGCAAAAGGCAGAACAAAGATAACATGCTTCTGAGGAAACAGGACAAGGGCAAAATCAGAACTACTGATAAGGGTCTATGTTCAGCTGAGCACATATTGTCTTGATAAACATCTTAAACAACAGAAAACAGAGTTCGAGAGCAGAGAACTGGTTTGACCACAAATTTGCAAGGGTGGAGTTTTTTCCCTACCCTGATAAGCCTGAGGGTACTTCAGGAGACCAGGGCATATCTCAGTCCTTATCTCAACCGCATAGGACAGATACTCCGAGTGGCTGTTTATAGACTGCCCCCCAGGAATGCATTCCTTCCCCAGGGTATTAATTATTAATATTCCTTGCTAGGAAAAGAATTTAGCAATATCTTCCCTACTTGCATGTCCGTTTATAGGCTCTCTGCAAGAAGAAATATATGGCTCTTTTTGCCTGACCCTGCAGGCAGTCAGACCTTATGGTTGTCTTCTCTTGTTCCCTAAAAATCGCTGTTATTCTGCTGTTTTTCAAGGTGCACTGATTTCGTATTGTTCAAATATACATGTTTTACAATCAATTTGTACAGTTAACACAATTATCACAGTGGTCCTGAGGTGACATACATCCTCAGCTTACGAAGATAACAGGATTAAGAGATTAAAGTAAAGATAGGCATAAGAAATTATAAAAGTATTATTTGGGAACTGATAAATGTCCAGGAAGTCTTCATAATTTATGTTCCTCTGCCGTGGCTCCAGCCAGTCCCTCCGTTCAGGGTCCCTTACTTCCCGCAACAGAGAACAAAAAATTATTTCTCATAGTTCTGAGGCTGGGAAGTTTTAAGATCAAGGGGCCAGCATCTGGTATTTGGTGAGGGTCTTCTTGCTATGTCCTCATGGCAAAAGAATGGAAGAGGGTGAACTCACTCCTGCAAGCCCTATTCATTTATTTATTTAATTTTTGAGACAGGATGTCACTCTGTCACCCAGGCTGAAGTGCAATGGCATGATCTCAGCTCACTGCAACCTCTGCCTCCCAGGTTCAAGCAATTCTCCTGCCTCAGCTTCCTGAGTAGCATGAGACTACAGGTGTGCACCACCAGCCCAGGTAATTTTTGTATTTTTAGTAGAGATGGGATTTCACCATGTTGCCCAGGTTGGTCTCGAACTCCTGACCTCAGGTGATCCACCCGCCTCAGCCTCCCAAAATGCTGAGATTACAGGCGTGAACCACCAAGCCCAGCCTTCAAAAGCCCTTTTTATAGAGGCATTAATTCATTCATGAAGGCAGAACCCTCATGACGTAAGCACCTCCCATTACTCCCCACCTCCCAACACTGTGGCATTAAGGATTAAATTTTCAACATATGAATTTTGGGGGACACATTCAGACCATAGCACCTATATTAAAGAAAAACATAACTTAATTGCAACCAATCAGAAGTGACCAGTAAACTTACATAACTAGAGACCTTCCAATGGTTAGACCAAATAAGGCAACTGTATAACTGTAACCAATCAAATATTTTCTTTGCTTTACTTCCTTGTTAATCCTATAAGGTCCTTTCTCTTGTGTTTTCCTGTTGGAGATTCTGAAATACTTCTGATTTGGTGCACCTGACTTGTGAATTAATGTTTGCTCAAGGCAACTCTAGAATTTTGTGTTGCCTCACTTTACCTTTTTAACAAAACAGACACACACATATACATACATACACACACAGACATCTTAGAATTTTTATCAAACCACGCATGAACACATTTTGAACTATTTTAAAATTTGTGCTGAAATAGTCGATATCAAAATAAAATCTACAAATGTATTAGACTCCTAAATAAAGAAGGTATTTCTGATTTCTCCAGAAGAAACAGTCTTCAGAAGAAATAATATAGTAAACCCTAGTATACTAAGTCACACACAATATATCTTCTGTATATCAAAGGCACTACAAAAAAGTATAAAGATCCATGACAAACTAAAAGAAATTACAATATTTATGAGAAAATAATAGTTAATAGATATTTAAAATATACATGACATACAAATCTTAAGAAAGAACATAAAAACAAAATAAAATCGGAAAAAGATATGGATGGGTATTTTAAAGGAAAATGAAATAACAATTACGACTAAACTTAGGATAAATTCACTAGTAATTTTTAAAAAATCAATTACATACCAGGCTATAGTGAGCACTCAAAATGTGCCAATTGACTGAGTGTATGATGAGACAGAGAGGGGAGGAGCATGCTTACTAAACGGGCTCCAGTCTTGTGAGCTCACCTGGTTTGGTTGGGTTACTGGCCAGGTCCAGGATTGTTTTGCCTGCACAAGGTAAAGCAATCACATTGACATGGGTTTTGCAAAAGAGAAAAGATTCATTTGCAAGGCTGCTGAGTGAGGAGGTGGAAGAACAATTTTCACATCCTCCTCCCTGAAGATAAGGCTTATCATGGGTTAGGGAAGTGGGGTGGTTTAAGTAGTGGGGAAATGCTATTGGCAGTGGAGAAAAATGGGAAAAATCAAGTAACAAGTTAGTTCTGGGCAAGCATAGTCAGGGTTCATGGTATTTCATAGGACATATGTACAGAAAGTGGCAACGCTAGCTCACTATAGCCTGGTATTTAATTGATTTTTTAAAAATTACTGGTGAATTTATCTTAAGTTTAGTAGTAATCAGTATTTAAATTTCCCTTAAAATATCTATGTACATCTTTTTTTAAATTATATTTTGTTTTTGTGTTCTTTCTCAAGATTTGTATGACATGTATATTTTAAAATCTCTCTATTAACTATTATGCTGTCATAAATGTTGTAAAGTTCTTTAGTTTGTCATTGATCTTTATACTTTTTCATAGTGTCTTTGATATATGGAAGATATATTGTGTGTGGCTTAAATGGTGATCTGAGGGTGGAGTTTTTGGCCTTCTGAAGTCAAAGGTCATTTCTTTGGCATTTGTACAGATCCAGTTGAAGGGTCCATGGTCTCAGCTGGTTTGAGCTGGACAGGGTTGGTCCAAGTTCCTGAAAAACAACTGAAGTGGCCATTACCATGGTGACCTATGAATGTTATCTATAACGTAGCTAGGGAAGGTTAAGTTTTAGTGTTCATCAGTGCAGCCTTCAGTGACCATGGCCTTCAGCTTCATGGAAAAAGGAAAAAATATATAACAAAAAGCAAGTGACCAGAAGCAAGCAGGGCAGGCAGACCTGATCAAATTAACCTCTCCGTTTCAGTTGTGCCCATCTATGGATGGCCAGAACTCCTACTGGCTGCCATTCTATTTGGCAGCCTCCCCAGGTTTCAGACAATGGCTTGCCTTTTGTCCCTCTAGAAAAGAGATGGTGTAGTTTTTTCATGCTGCTGGCCTCAGAACTCTGCACCATGCCCTGTCAGTGTGCTTGACATTTACCTGCAGATTTGTACAGAGTGCCTCAATTACCCCATCAAGTTTGGCATCCGTTTCCCATGAAAATATATCACGCTAAATAAGAAACCTTAAAAGAAATTTTTCTTATGGAAACTTGACATTATGCTATGAAAACTATATGTTGGCCAGTCCTAAAATAAAAAGAAAATTCCACCTTTTTAATATATGTTTAATTTTTTTCACTAACACTGACAAAACAAACAGAAACATAAGCTAAGAAATTGAACCTTGCAACAATGACAGAGAAGAGCACCATTAAACTAGGAATGTTGTAGAAACACTGATGAACCCTAACCCTGACCCTAACCCTAAGCCTATGCATTATGCGCTATTTTCTCTCAGTGAATGGAACTGTTTCTCAAAGAGAGATCTCTGTAAGCCAGTGTTTAGAACAAGGTTCTGAGGGATATTTCTTACTGAACAAGAAAAATATTGCTGGCATATATCACTTGAGGAAAATTCTCCCTGAAAAATAATTACAAAACAGAAAACTATATAATGACCATTAAGATGAAATACATATATTAATAGAAGCACTTAGGAATATGAGAAACAACCTTGATTCATAAATTCAGAAACTAAGAATAGAAATAAACAACAAAACCAAACCCAGGAATAAAGACAAAGACAGTTGACTGAACAGAAAAGAAACAGACAAAATGATGTCAGAAATTAATAACAATTTATACAATAGCCAAGGGAGGATAAATTGAATTTTAATTATGAGTATTGACAAAAGGCAGGATAGCAGTCTTTAGCAGGATAGCATAAAAATGGGACTTTAAAAAAGAAGTGAAAAGGTAAAAATGGAAAGTAGTAGAAATAAGAGACAGAAAAAGAAAGAATAACATTCATAGTAATTTACTTCCTGAAGAACAACAAAAAAAAGTAGAAAAGAAATATTTAAATTTATAATCTAACAAAACTTTCCACATACATGAACTAATGTGTTGCATATACGTGTTCATATAAGTGTGTATACATGCATACACATATGTATTATATATACACAAATATACACCTGTATTATCTACATATTACATATTACATAATATACATATTATGTACATATACATACATATGTATTATGTATTACGTATATTACATATATACGTGTGTGTATATATGTATACATGTATACACACATGCATATATGTAATACACATATGTGTATTACATATATATACATAATACATGTTTTGTATATATATGTGTATTATGTATATACACACACAGACATATCTACACACATACGTTTACCTGCATGCACAGACACCCACATATCTTTTAAATTCAGTAACATTTAATGAGTAGTAATGTTTCCAAGAACTAGGGCAGTATGCCCACAACATCTGCTTCTATTCAGCACATTAATGCAAGTATTAATCAACGCAATTAATCAAGAGAAATGGCTGAGGCATAAGAATAGGTGAAGAAGTAAAACTATCTTTATTTGTAGCTGACAGGAACATATACCTGGAAAACTCTTAAAAATCAATGATGAAACTAACTTTTAAAACTCAGTAAGTTATTTAGATGTATAATTAACAAACAATTAATAGGATTATTTAAAGAAAAGTTTAAAACATTTCTGAAAAACACTAAAGTAGACTTAAACAAATGGAAAGATATTTCTTGTTTTTAGATAGGGCAATCCAACATCATAAAGATGTTAGTACTGCCTAAGTTTTTCTCTAAATTTTAACTCATACCTTCCAAAAAATAGCAACTATTTTTAATGGAGTTAGACTAGGTCATACTAAAGTTCATGTGGAAAAAAATAACTGTAAGAATAGCAATAAAAATAATGAAAACAGAAAGTAGGTGGGGACACGCTTTTCCAGACATTACTATAAATTCTCTATACCTCAAGTAATTTGGCACTGGTGCATGGAATGACAAATGAAATTGTGAAATAGAATAGAGAGCCAAGAAACAAACTCAGATACGTATGGAAATTTAGTATATGATAAAGACTGCAGATGAACTTATAATAAATGGTGCTTGAAAACTTAGTAGGCAGTTACAAACAGATAGAATTAATTCCATAATTAATAGTGAAATGCACTATTCCCCAAAAATATAAATCAAAATAGAATAAGGAACAAATGATAATGTCACATAGCATATAATTTAGTATACAATATTATGAAAGAAAGAGAATGTTGTTGCTTACTGGTAACTGTTAAAGAAAGTCAGGAAGTAAACTTTGCTATGTAATATTATAGGCACAAATCTGTGAAGAAAAAACAAAATTGCTAGAGAGATAGTTAAATTTATCATCATTAAAAACTGATAAAACAGATAGTTAAAAATAATCAAGGATAAAGATATTTTGAGCATTATTAATACCCTATATTTAATAGATAAGCATAGAACTTTGCATCTACAGTGTGTTGGGCGCTACCTACACTTATGGAAAAAGTGAAATAACTTTCCATTTTCATTAAGATTTAAGGTGCCATTTGGTAGAAATGACATATATAACTTATGAAGTATGTGTACAAACACACACATTTATATATTTCATGCATATTATGCATATAAAAATGAAAGCATATTCTAAAATATGTCAAATATGTCAAAATTGAATACAGTCAATGTTATATAAAATCCCTCTATTATTCATGTTCCTGTTAAAAGTAAGATAAAATACATTTTAATAAACAAGAATATAAGTGACTTTAAATTTCTTTTGGAGGATATTATTTTTAGAGCTATGATTAAATAATTTTCACAAGATAAATGTTAAGATGCATTATATTTATGAGTGAATAAATATATGTATTTCTGATTATAAATCGATTCAACTTAAATATAAGTGTTAAAAATGTAATAAATACATAAGGAAATATGTAAAAATTACCCACAGTTCTTCTAAAAAGAGACAACCACTTTGCTATTTTGTGGAAATCTCTTCAAGTTACTTAATCTCTTATTTGAGCATTAGGTGATTGTGCTAATGGCTGTATAATTTTCTATTGTACTAAAATACTTAATATTTTATTGATGGACATTTTAGAGGCTCACATTTTTTATTTTTATTAAAAAATTATCAACAAGCTGATACATTCCTATACTTTTCTAATAATTACCAATAACACATTTTAAAGTGTGTATTTCCTGTCTCAAAGTGTTTAAAAATATTTTATCATGTGAAATTCTGTAATTAAACATAGATACTAATAAATTAAGAGGGTTCTTTTCATGACAAGGATGATAGATAATAGTTCATTGGGTTTTTTTAGAGAGTTTAGTAAGTGGAATTGATAGAGACAATATATACTTTCATTAAAAAATTGCATGTCAAAAATTAGAATAATAGAGCTGACCAATGGAACATTTTTAAAGCATGTTGGTACCAATAACATATCACAACAGGTGGTGAATTGGATATTGGTCAATTGCATGAGTTTTGTCCAAACTGGGGCACTCCTGAGAGGTGAAATAGTTCAACATTAATAATTATGTTCAGGGTATGGCAGTTAACCTGGACTGTTCTCCCCAAACTGAGACTTGTGGTCAGTATAATACTATATTTCTATAATACCGTATTTCAGTGTGTATTAGTCTATTCTCATGCTGCTAATAAAGACATACCTGAGACTGGGTAATTTATGAAGAAAAGAGGTTTAATTGACTCACAGTTCTACATGGCTGAGGAGGCCTCACAATCACGGCAGAAAGTGAAAGAGGAGCAGGGTCACGTCTTACATGGTGGTAAGCAAGAGAGTGTGTGCAGGGAAACTCCCCTTTATAAAACCATCAGATCTCATGAGACTTGTTCAGTATCATAAGAACAGTATGGGTGGAACTGCTGCCATGATTCAATTATCTCCACCTGGCCCTGCCCTTTACACATAGGGATTATTACAATTTGAAGTGAGATTTGGTGGGAGACATGGACAAACCATATCACAGTGATTTTCATTTAGATTAATGCACATTTAATCCATAAATAAAAGATCACAATGCCTTTGAATTTAGATAAAGCTAGGAAAAAAGGAAGAAAGAAAATATATTTAATTCGCAGCCTTTGAGCTTCTATGGAGCTAGTAGTACATTAAGATAATGCAAATGAGCTGAATGTTTGTGTCTTCCCCAAATTTATATGTTGAAACCCTAATCTCGGTGTGATGGTACCTGGAGGTAGAGAGTTTGAGAGGTAATTAGGTAATGAGGGTGGAGTCCTCATGAAGGAGATTAGTGCCCTTGTAAGGAGAGGTTAGAGAGCTAGCTCATTCTCTTTCTGAGGATATGTGAAGATACAAAAAGAAGTTGGCAGTCAACAATGTGAAAAAGGGCCCTTACGAGAACCTGGCCATGCTTGCACCCTGATGTTGAACTTCCAGCCTCTAGAACAGTGAGAAATAATGCCTATAGTTTATACACCACCCAGTCTATGGTACTTTGTTATAGCAGCCCAAAAGACTAAGATTTTCTGAGTTACTTTTGTATTTAATTTATTGGTTAACGTAAGTGGTCAAATTATATGATTAAAATTTTTTGCAATTGATTCTACATGTTTCAATTATAATTTATTTTTCAATTTTTAAAAATGATGTAAACTAGAAATATAATTACCATTTGGACATTTTGTTATTTGGGGGGCATGCAAATTGTTGAGAATGTGAGATCTTACCCAAGTTAGAAAGAGTACATCTAGCATCCAGATATTAGCATTTAAACACAATTCCAACAAAATGAGAACGAAGGCACCATGAAGAATGAGCCGTGCAATGTCTTTTTGTATCAGAAAACAAAACATTCCTTAAAAAATTTATAGAACGTATCAAAAGACTGAGAAGACAGTTTAACAAGATGTACAGCCCTACATACTACCGTTAATTTAGATGGTGGCTTTATCTTTGTAAATATGAAATGTTAGCTGATGTAATAAGCAGTTTGTTTAATATCCTTACAGACTCTTTGGTGTTTAAAATTATTTTGAAATAAAAAGTTATAATAATCTGGGTTTTTAAATTTTTAATTCCTGCGAACTAATTTATGTGTTTTACAAGGTGAGGTGCAGGAACAAAGGAGGCACAATTTTTAGGTTTCCCAGAATAAAATATATTTGCATATTGTTTTCCAAATCAAATAACCATGTTAGGTAATAATTACTATGTCTATTATACTGAGGGTCAATAGAAGTAATTAATTTGTCTAAGATAATGCAGCTTAGCAAGATCCCTATGGTACAATCCCAAAGGTAGTTTTCTCAATATAATATATCAAATGTCAAATATTTTTCCATGGGTTGATTTTTCACTCACTATTTTACCTATCAATATAATCCATAGATAATTATTAAAATAATTGTTAGGAAATGTGTCAATTACATTAAATATTAAAATATTAAAGCTATCTTTCATGTTAAAGTGAGTTTCTAAATCTATATATAATAATTAATTTAAAATTTTTTTCACCTAATTCTTGAGAATAATACTCAGAAACTCTATATAAACAGAACAGAAATCAAGCAAAATTACCAAATAAAACTTTCACAATTTCTTCTCACTGGCTAAATTAATATTAAATAAAATTTAAAATGGAATATTAAGAATTCATGTACATAATCTATATTTAAGAATTAATTAGTATGAATACTTCATTCTTTATAAGTTTTGTTAAATAATCATTTTGTTCTCAGAGAATGTACTACCCGCTGCTTCAACCTTTAAATGCTCATTTACAACTCTAAAAAACAGATATTTGCCTGTGGTGGAAAACTCAATCTGCTAATTACGACCATTAATTTAGATGGTGGCGTTGCCTTTGTAAATATGGAATATTAGCAGATGTGATCAACAATGTATTTTAAATCTAAAAAGCCCCCAAAATATATAAGTGCTTTTTACATTTTATTTAAATATGTCTATATATCAAAGTATTCATTTGTATACATTTGTGAACAAATACATATTTTCTCAATGTATTTTCTTTCTATATAGATATTTATATATACACATTCTCTCTCCCATAGAGTAATGTAGTAATTTTCTTTCAAAATATTTTCACAGGCTTAAAAATGGATACATTTAACTTACCCATAAAAATGCAGTTACACTTCAAGCTTAGAATTAAGAATCAATTGATTCTTAGACGAACAAAAGAAAATTCTACTAGAAATTCTAGATCTTGGTTTTCTTAGGAAGACCGTGTGGCAAACTCTAAGGTGGCACCCCTAATCTCTTCCCCTGATGGTCATTGCTTTGTGTGGCTCCCTCCTCTTGAGTGTGAGTTAGGACCCGTGACTTGCTTCTAAGCCATGGAAATGGCAAAGGTGGTGGATGTGATGTCAAGATGACATCAGGATGGCATCACATTATATAAAACACTCTACTGTTAGCAGACTTGCTCTAGAGACTCTCTTTGCTGTTTTGATGAAGTGAGCCACCATGTTAGTAAAGTACAATGGCAAAGAACTGTGGGCAGCCTCTGGGAAGCGGGGTGGCCCCTGGTAACTCGAGATGAAGGAAGCCTTCAGCTGGTAGAAAGCAAGAAGCCCAGGTTTTCAGTTCTACAGACACTAGGAAATTAATTCTGCCTTATGATCTGAGTAAGAGTAGAAGTTGATTCTTTCCCATTCTAACCTCCAGATGAGAACACAGCCCAGCTTACACCTTGATTTTAGCTTTGTGAAACACTAAGTAGGAGAGCAGCCAGCTAAGCTTATCCACAGAAACCATGAGATAATAAGTGTGTGTTTTTATAACTGCTAATTTTGTGGTAGTTTGTTACCCAGCAATAGAAAACGAATATGGATAACCTTTTATTTTCTGGGTTCCCTAACATGATTTGAAATTGGAGAATGTTAGTATGTCTAAAAAAAGAAAATAAGGCAGGGTTTAGCTGCAAACTATCAATCTGAAAACTTATTGGAATTTTAAAATATTAAATACAATTAAAGAGCTTTCTTTTCATTAGATTTCTGCTAAAAGATGAGGCAAAAACAAAGTAGAGATAGCTCTTCTAAAATAATTCCAAAGAGGGTTTAAATTCTTAATAATTTTTGAAAAATTATTAAATTACTTTTCATACTTAGGTGATAGAGTATTGGACAGTCACTGATATGGCTTTATGCAGAAATAAATGAATATAGTTTAGTATCCATGAACTGCAGACAAATAGATTGATACGTATTATTTAAAAATATAACAGTCATGGGCCAGGCATGGTGGCTCACACCTGTAATCCCAGCACTTTGGGAGGCCGAGGTGGGTGGATCACAAGGTCAAGAAATCGAGACCATCCTGGCCAACATGGTGAAACCCCATCTCTACTAAAAATACAAAAAAAAAAAAAAATAGCTGGTCTTGGTGGCACGTGCCTGTAGTCCCAGCTACTTGGGAGGCTAAGGCAGGAGAATGGCTTGAACCCAGGAGGTGGAGGTTGCAGTGAGCCAAGATCACACCACTGCACTCCAGCCTGGGCAACAGAGCAAGACTCCATCTCAAATAAATAAATAAATAAAGGTTGTGTCAACAAGACATGCACTTATATTTCACAATTTCCCACAGAAATAATGAGAAAAGACATCACTAATATAACCTTAATTTTTAAGCTATTTTTCAGCCTGTTTCTATTCAAAAGTAAGTAAGAGTTTAATTCAATTAGTCTTGAAAAGATTAGAAAGAGAGGTGAACATTTACAGAAAACTTACCTGATACATTTGGAATAACACCTTTCTACAAACAATTTCAAATTCTACTTTGGAAAACAGAAATTTTAACTGGTTCTGTGCACATGATCAATACTATTCTTAAATATTCCATCCTTCTATCCCCAGAAAGCATCAAATATTCTTAAAAATATAAATGTTTTAGAAAACAGTAACTTACAAAAGAAAATATAAAGTACCATAATAAAATGTCCAAAAGACTTAAAGGTAAATTTCATATCCATTCATTTATTCCTTGATTCATTTGTTTAAAAACACACATTGAGTTTCTGTGTATTGATCAGTCTGATGCACAACAGTTAGATATTGTATCATACTTCATTGATTCAATAATGAGGTTGGGCCATTAAAATCCTGTTTTTACCATTTTATAACAGTTTTATCTGGTTTGAAAGTGCACTTTATTAGTAAAAGGCCCACTGCATTGCATTCTGTTCACCAGCTCATCCCCATTCTTCCCATTGTGTTCTTGCCATTTTCTTTGGTCCACTTTCCAGTCTTCCCACCCCCCAAAACTGCTATTTAATCTGGGTCAGTTTAAAATTTCTGAAAACTTTCTTTTTTAAAAAAAATTATAACTTTTAATTTTAGGTACAGAGGGTACATGTATAGATTTATTGTATGATGCCAAGGTTTGGAGTACGATGGAGCCTGTCACCCATGCAGCGAGCATAGGACCAAATAGGTACTTTTTTGGCCCCCTTCCTTAACCCTCTGTGAGTCCACAGTCCCTGTTGTTCCTATGTTTATGTCCATCTATGCTCAATGTTTAACTCTGAGTTGTAAGTGAGAACATGTGGTATTTGGTTTTCTGTTCCTGAGTTAATTTGCTTAGGATTATGACCTTCAGCTGCATGCATACTGCTGCAAAGGACATAATTTCATTCTTCTTTATGGCTGTGTGGTATTTCATTTGTATAAGTATCACATTTTCTTCATCCAATCCACCATTGATCAGCACCTCAGTTGATTCCATGTCTTTGCTATTGTCAATAGCGCAGTGATGAGCATGCGAGTGCCGATGTCTTTTGGGCAGAAAATTTATTTTCTTACAGATATATGCTCAGTAATCAGATTGCTGGATCAAATAAAAACTTTCTATTTTAAATTTAGAAAATAAAATATTTGGGGATTTTTTTCAATGAATGATGTAATACATTTTTACAAACAAAAAATAATTTATAAGCAGAAGCCTCCAGGCTGTGGTTGGTTTTATGAAACCATTTAATTAGTGACCATTTCAAGCTACTACATAGTCCCTGGTAAGTTGCAGGAAGCGCCACAGCTCCCCATTGTTCATCATTTTGCCAAAGGTGTGGTTTATGTTCTCATGCCCCTGCCTCCAAAATGCTTCATAGTATATACAGATGCTCCTCGATTTACAATGGAGTTACACTGTGATAAACCCATCCTGTTGAAAGTATCATAAGTTGAAGTTGTGTTTTTAATTTTTAACTTATGATGAGTTTATTCAGATGTAACAGCATTATAAGTTGAGACGTGTAGTGAATGTTCATTGCTTTCGCACCATAATAAAATTGAAACATAGTAAGTTGAACCATCGTAAGTCAGGGACTGTCTGTAACTAATATTGTCCATATGGCATGATAATTTTATTTGGTACCATTTTATATATGATAGTAATTTATTTTTAAAATATGATCATAAAAAATAAATGAGTGATTTTCATTTTGTCAAAATCAATTCTTCACATTTTTTATTTGGAGTATTTTAAGGTGAATACAAATCATTGATAAAAATAAATGTCTTTGTTTAATGGCTAATTTTCTATGTAAGTTGTTTTTATCAATAGAGATGTTTTCATTTATTTCTCAGACAACTTTCAGCAGGTTCTGCTATCACAAATGTTAATAGAGGTATACCTCAGAGATACTGTGGTTTTGGTTTTAGACAACCACAATAAAGCAAATATCACAAGAAAGTCAGTCACACACAATTTTTTTTGTTTCCCAGTGCATATAAAAGTTATATTTATGCTATACTGTAGTCTATTCACTTTCTTTGCTCAGCCATAAGAAACTCCTCATCCATTCAAAGTTTATCATGAGATGTTAACAATATAGTCACATCTTCAGGCTCCACTTCTAATTCTAGCTCTGTTGCTATTTCCACATCTGTTTTTCCTTTCTCTGCTGAAGTCTTGAACCCCTCAAAGTCATTCATGAGGGTTGGAACAAATGTCTTCTAAACTCCTGTAAATGTTGATATTTTGATCTTCTCCTGGAATCGTGAATATTCTTAATGGCATCTAGAATGATGGCTCCTTTCCAGAAGCTTTTCAATTCACCTTTTCAAGATCTTTCATAGTAACCATTATCTATAGCAGCTATGGCTTTATAAGTGTTAAATAATAAGACTTGTAAATAATAATAATTTTAACTTACACATCTTGAATAATACAAGTCTTAAATAATAATTTTAAATAATAAGACTTGCAAATGAAAATTACTCCTTGATACATGGGTGCAGAACAGATCTTGTGTTAACAGGCACAAAAACAACATTAATCTTGTATATCTCCATCAAAGCTCTTGGGTGACTTGGTGTGCTGCCAATGAACAGTAACATTTTGAAAGAAATCCTTTTTCCTGAGCAATAGATCTCAACAGTGGGCTTAAAATATTCAGTAACCCATGGTGTAAACAGATGTAAGGTCATCCAGGCTTTGTTTTTCCATTTATAGAACACAGACAGAGTGGATTTAATATAACTCTTAAGGGCCTTAGGATTTTCAGAATGGTCAATGAGCGTTGGCTTCAACTTTAAATCAACAGTTGTATTAGTCCTTAACAAGATAGTCTGCCCTTTGAAGTTTCAAAGCCAGACATTGACTTTTCCTTTCTAGCTATGAAAGTCCTAGATGACATCATCTTCCAATAGAAGGCTGTTTCCCGTACAGTGAATATCTGTTGTTTAGTGTAGCTACCTTTAACAATTATCGTAGCTGGATCTTCTGGATAACTTGCTGCAGCTTCTACAATAGCACTTGCTGCTTCACCTTGCATTTTTATGTTGTGAAGATGGCTTCTTTCCTTAGACCTCATGAAGCAACCTCTGCTAGTTTCCAGCTTTTCTGCTGCAGCTTCCTCATCTCTCTCAGCCTTCATAGAACTGAAGAGAGTTGAGACTTTGCTCTGGATTAGGCTTTCGTTTAAGGGAATGTTGTGGTTATTTGATCTTCTATCCAGACTACTCAAACTTTTTCCACATCAGCAATAAAGCTGTTTTGCTTTCTTATCATTCATGTATTCACTGAAATAACACTTTTGATTTCCTTCAAGAACTTTTCCTTTGCATTCTCAAGTTGGCTGTTTGGTATGAGAGGCCTATCTTTCAGCCTATGATGGCATTTGACATGCCGTCCTCACTAAGCTTAATCATTTCTAGCTTTTGATTTGAAGTTAGAGATGTGCGACTCTTCCTTTCACCTGAACACTTAGATATCATTGTAGGGTTGTTAACTGGCTAATTTTAATATTGTTGTGTCTCAGGGAATAGGGAGGCCCAAGGAGAAAAAGAGAGATGGAGGAACAGAAGGTCAGTGGAGCAATCAGGATACAACATTGATTGATTAAGTTTGCTGTCTTATATGGGCATAGTACATGGTGCCCCCAATTACAATAGTAACATCAAAGATCACTGATAAGAGATCACAATAACAGATATAGTAATCATGAAAAAGTCTGAGATATTGTAAAATATTGGCAAAATGTGACACAGGAACACAAAGTTTACAATAGTGTTGGGAAAATGGCACCAATAGACTGAGTTGACCCAGGATTGTCATGTACCTTCAATTTGTAAAAAATGCAATATCTACAAAGCACAATAAAGCAAAATGCAATAAAATGAGGTATGGCTGTACAAATGTTTTTTATGTTGACACTAGCTAGCTGAGGTTCTTCAAAATACAGGCAAGGACCCCCTAGTTATAAATATAGAAAATATTTTTATTTGTTTAAATGTCTCATGCATGATAGGCACACTTTTTAGTTACAAAGAAATTCCTTCCTGTAGTATATTGTAACTATTTAGGAAATGTAAGGGTTGCTTAGGAATAATATATTCTTTTTGATATTTATTCACAAGCTAGTTATATGATCTTAGAGCAAAATCTACTCTATAAAAATAATTATTCCTTAAAATGTGTTCTTAGAAAATATTAACTATTATGTATAATTATACTCTTTAACTTTTAAACTTTTTTCTAGGCATGTTAGCAACTTCACAAGAGGAGATTCTGATAACCATTTGTGTTTATCTTTTACAAATGCAATGATTAATTAGGCATCTTTAAAAGTCTTATTACTTCTGCATTCATTTCAGAACTTCATCCAGTGAGCTATTGAGTTATTCTAAGGGGTCCTCAGTGTTTTCAAATGATGTATCTTCCCCAGAGGAGCCCTAAGATATTGCAGTGTGACTTTTTTTTCCCTCTGTAATGTTGGAAAAAGACTCTATTTGTTTAAAATATCTCAGCTACTGAGAGGTTGTCTTAATAGCTCATCAAATATCTTCCTCTGATTGACAGCACTGTGGCAATAATTAAATTCTTCAATTGTGAAGGTCATTGGCTCACAGAGGTTTATGGGCTAACCTAGTTAAGGGGCAGCTGCTTGCTCCTAGATCTTATAAAATTAATAATAATTAGTAGAAACCAAAGGGTTCTGAGTAGACTCTCAGGACACTGACAATATTAATAGTCTGTGTAAATACTGGTGACCCTGTTTTCTCCCCAACTGTGTGCGAGAATTAGTGGGTACTCTATATTAGACACATTAATGCTTCTATGTCATTTTCTATGATGGATATTGATGATGGAAAATCATGTCTCAAAAACCTCTTTAGGATATATGGCTATAATTTGTCTGCAGTACTCTTGGAAAAGTAGTGGAAATAGTATTCCTTTATAACTCTAAGGAAAGGAACAGTACACTATAATTAGTTTATATTGACCCTCACAAATAAGTTACATTCAAAATGTTTTACAAAAGTTGAATCTGAGACTCAGTGAAATAAGTTCCATTTCAGTTCCTTTCCTTTTTAGTGGTCTTGCACGTCTTTTTCACATCTCAATTTTTAATAGAGTATTTTTAAAAATGGCCATATGTTCTTTTAGGTCCATATATTTTCCAATAGAGAAAAGACAAAGGAATAGCCTCGTAGAGACTTTCTATGGATTCAGTAAACCTGTCATAATCAGGATAGGAAAACATGATATTGAGGTACATCGTTTCAACCAAACACTTGTGTGGATATAACCCAAACTTATTCGAATAAGACATCTAAACCCTTAAATCTATAGAATGCAGATGCTTGTAGATAGCTAAAACTCATGAGATTGAAGTAGATTTTACTAATGATCTACCCTGTGGAATCAGTGGGCACTACATATCAAGCCTTCGATTCAAATTGAGTTTACAAGTAAAATAACATTTAGAAAGAGTTGTTTTCCTCTTTTATCAAGTCAGCAAATTCAGAGACTTTAAAAATAAATGTAATTTTATCAATGATGAATAACTTATTAAATATAGAATATAATTAATTTTAATGTTATATATGCTTGCTTTAATTGACCCTTAAATACAGGCATTTAATACTATTATCATAATAGACTTTTGTTTATATGCAATTAGAAAATGGACTGTTGAGAAAATCATAAGATTCAAATTGTAACTTCAGCATACATATAATAATATTGTGGTTAAATCATATAACATTATTTTAAAATAATAAGAAATCCCTATTTAACAAAAGAATATATACAAAATACTTTCTGTAATCCTAAAAATTAAGTTTGAAATTTAGCCCAATTTGCAAAGCACAAAAATGTACCATATATTTTCATTGTCATAAAGTTTTAAAATTTGATACAAAATTCCTAGGAGTTATCTCAATAAAAAATATTAAGTTTAAATATTACCCTCCCAAATATTTAATGATTTGGGTGTAAAATCTCTTGCACAAATGGAAATCTGGATCTCAATTTTAGAAATTTGAGAAAAAAGGAATATTATTCATCTTTTGAAATATTCATTGTAAATAGCGTACATGCATTTTAAGGAATATTACCCATGTGATATACTGTTTTCTTGGGAAAAAAACACAAATTCCTTCAACTTGCAAAACAATTAAATCAGTTGATAACAAACTGATATTTTCAAGACCGATAAATTCAAAGACCAAGAAGCCAAGCAAAGGATTAATTAGTATTTCTAATTAGAGAAAAGTATGTAAAACGATTCTATTCAAACAAGATATTTTATGTACCAATGTCCACCAAATGTAAAAATGCCTTATATCTGAGGAACTACCATGATATAAAAGATAATTTTCCACACTTTTACCTTCATGTTTTCCAACCGTATTATTTCTGGGATGATTTCTGAGAAAATGGAAATATGCATCTCCATCCAATGCTGATGTGAGTGTAATTGATATGATCATTCTGCAAGGGCATCCTATGCCATATGGTGAAGCCTTACAATGGTTATGTCTTTTGATTCAAAAACTATGTGGAACACACACTTACACACACAGTTATCTTTGTGTGTAGAGAAATTGCTTATGACATCTTTTAACCTTTTTTGCTCATCTGTATTTCCAGAATTTTCCATAATACTTGTGTGTAATTTTGTAGCAAGTTACATTCTAAAATAACAACAAAAGACTGAAATTATAGATGTAAGATATAGAAAAGGAAATTTTATTTGCAAAAAATGTAGCATATTTTCTCCTTAAAATTTTGGGGGAAGAATATTCTGAGAAGATGCCAGAACCATAGTTGATTAACATGGCTAATTACCTGTATAATACAAACATAATGCCATTGATATCTGTTTATTTCATGTGTTGACTTTATGTTTTCTGCTACTAATTATTCAACATTGATTAGGTTGGTGAGAGCTTCGCTGGAGACTTTTTTTTTCTGAACCTGTTCTTGTCATAATTTCATAGCTCATTAAATGGTCAAAGTCTTGAGATTAGAGAGGCTATGCCACAACTCTATAGTCCCTTTTGTATTTTTTTTTTTTTTTTTTTTTGAGACAGAGTCTCACTCTGTTGCCCAGGCTGGAGTGCAGTGGCATGATCTTAGCTCACTGCAGCCTCCATCTCCTGGGTTCAACCGATTCTCCCATCTCAGCCTCCCAAGTAGGTGGGATTACAGGCTCATGCCACATTTCCAGCTAATTTTTGTATTTTTAATAGAGATGGGGTTTCACCATGTTGGGTAATCCCAGCACTTTGGGAGGCCAAGGCGGGTGGATCACCTGAGGTCAGGAGTTCGAGTCACTTTTATCTTTATATGTTGAGATGATCTTATACTAAATAAGATGTGTTTGGCCACCACAGCTGTTCCTTCTGCCTAAAATGTTCTTTCCCCATGTTTGGTCTGACTAATATCATCATATTCCTTCTTTATGTCTTAACCTCATTGTTGCGTTTTTAAAAAGGCAGAGGCAGATTTTCCATGTGTCTGAATGCATATGGCATTTCCCAGCATCCATGTCCCAGCATCCATGTCCCAACATCCATGTGTGATGTGATGATGTAATCAACATTTGTCTCCCCAAGGAAACTCCTGGCTCCCTTTGGTCCTTGAGAGGGTCACATCACTGCTCAGTGTGTACCCCATGTCTAGCATGGTGCTTTAGCTATCAAGAGCCTGCAGTCTTTACTGGCTGAATGAATGAATAAGAATTCTTTAAAATTTAAATAGATCTAAAAATCTAAACGAAACCTCCTAAGTCACATATTCAAGATCCTTCAACTTGTGACGAAGAGTGCCTCAAACCAAATTCCTGGTGTTTCCTTAGTGCCGCAACACAGGCTGACTCCCAGGAGTCTTGCAAGTCAGACCTGAGATGCTCCTTGTGCTCCTTGGATGACAGAAGGTGCCCTTCTACTCCGGGCATGGAGGAAGAAGAATCCAGGACCTATTTTTTTTATTTTTTTAATGAAAAGTCTCAAGTCATAACAGTGTGCCAGTAAGTCAGGAAAACATTAATCTAGATCATTAGAAGTCACACAATGTCTTTTAGTCTTTCTTTTTAGAAACACCAATTATTTTGATTTGAATATAAAAACAAGGTTCTGGAACCTTGTCTTTACCAATTCTGTCATTTCGCAAGTACTTCACCCTGTAAGTTGTTTGGTACAACTTTGAAATATCAATGAAGATATAGTGAATAGCTGAGGAATGTTCAGGAAACATTGCAGGAGAGGTTGAGAATCAATATTAAGAATATTTTGGATAAATTTTTAGAAGTGAGTGTGAAGGCAAATGCACAGCATCAAAGGAAAAAAAAAATTCAACCAATTCAAATAAATAAAAAGACCAAAGAAAACCACCTTTAAATTCAATATCCTTTTCCCCTGTGATTCAAATGTAGATCATTTTAGTAGATAAACATATTTTTCCCATGCTAACCTATGTAGTAAAAGATTAGCTCAGATCAACAGGCAATTTTCGTGGCTCAACATTTCCCTTTTCATGAAGTCTTTAAATGCTGTGGATTAAATTTGCATCCCAAGGTAAATTGTGAACTTGTCAAACACAAGACAAATACACCATACTCCTTGTTACCAACAGGTGGCTTGCTGCTCACACAGACACAGATTGTGTTGCTCAGCTCTGCAGCAGGGCAAAGGATCAAGAGAGCCACAAACCTCCCAAACATCATGTTTGATCTTTAAAAAGTCTTCAAGTTCCCCTCAGCCTTGAGCAAGTCACATGCAGCTTTTAACCCCGTTTCTAGTCATTAAGTACGGAAGTATGCATGTATACGTCCTCTCCCTGCCGCTTCAGGTAGGAAACAGCCATTTAAGAAATGCTCATTGCCTCTTTATTGTAGGCAAAATGTGACACGGTATTTGTGATTTTGGGCTAAGTGTTCTCTCTGGTTATAATAGGGGAGGAGCTGCTTCTTCTTTTTTTTTTATTATACTTTAAGTTTTAGGGTACAGGAGCACAACGTGCAGGTTTGTTACATATGTATACATGTGCCATGTTGGTGTGCTGCACCCATTAACTCGTCATTTACATTAGGTATATCTCCTAATGCTATCCCTCCCCCCTCTCCCCACCCCACGACAGGCCCCGGTGTGTGATGTTCCCCACCATGTGTCCAAGTGTTCTCATTGTTCAATTCCCACCTATGAGTGAGAACATGCGGTGTTTGGTTTTTTGTCCTTGTGGTAGTTTGCTGAGAATGATGGTTTCCAGCTTCATCCATGTCCCTACAAAGGACATGAACTCATCATTTTTTATGGCTGCATAGTATTCCATGGTGTATATGTGCCACATTTTCTTAATCCTGTCCATCATTTTGGGCATTTGGGTTGGTTCCAAGTCTTTGCTATTGTGAGTAGTGCCACAATAAACATACATGTGCATGTGTCTTTATAGCAGCATGATTTATAGCCACAATGAGATACCATCTCACACCAGTTAGAATGGCGATCATTCAAAAGTCGGGAAAAAACAGGTGCTGGAGAGGATGTGGAGAAACAGGAACACTTTTACACTGTTGGTGGGACTGTAAACTAGTTCAACCATTGTGGAAGTCAGTGTGGCGATTCCTCAGGGATCTAGAACTAGAAATACCATTTGACCCAGCCATCCCATTACTGGGTATATACCCAAAGGATTATAAATCAGGAGGAGCTTCTTGATGCTCTTAAGCAGTTTGTCCTTTCATTTCAGAGAATTGGAGTTCCTTTTGTATTTACCCTGCCAAAGTGAGCAAAGGATGAATAACTACTACTAATAATAGCAGTAGTAATAGCTCTCTGTACATTTCCATTCTTGGATCTTGAGTAATATTAATGATGCACTTTGTGATGAAAATGGATTTTCCATTTCCCCTACTCTGTACAGCAGAGAAGAGTTCCCAGTTAGAACCAAGATGATGGAGACCATGTTCTTCAGAGAGGGAAAAATGTGCATCCGATATTTTAGGAAACTGGTCCTGGAATAAAGCTGGTTTTGAAGCCCCAGGAATCCTTATGTTTGGTATATTTAGGTAACAGCCTGACATTCACCCTGCACCACCTATGTCCACCAACTTTCTGTGTATAGCGAACTGTCTTTAATGTGATGTCATAGAGGGCAGATCAGCTCCATATAAAAACAAAGGTCAAAACTTCCTTCATCTAGAAAAGTTTCTCAAACTCAATGGCTCTACTCTCTTCTAACATAATGTACTAAATACGCACATTTATTAGTAATTTTGCCTCATGAAGCTTTTATAAAAAACATATTCATTGCCAAAGAAAAACGATTTTGAGACCAAAAACACTTTGAGAAGCATAAGTTTCTCCTTCTGCCCTATTTTGTAAAGACTTTTCGTCCTTTATGTTCTCCATTAATATTCTACATTACGGTACACAAACATTAGTGTGGATCAGAATTTCTAAGTTAATATACATTTTAAAGCCATTATAAAAAGCACAGACTGTGTGGTTGCTCTTTTTATGAGAATGGAGATTGAAGGCAGCTGTTTTCAAAAGCACTAATGTACTTCAAACAATGATGTAATATCTAATGTACATAACCTTTTAAAACCTGGTAATATAGAAGACATTTAGATTTACTATGGAAATATATCTCAATTTTATTTCCTGCAAAAAAAGGGAATACAGGGAGGCATACGGAGTTATGTTTTTCCATTTGCTGTCTAAATGGCTTGGCCCATAAATATACTTACCCACTACCCAGTATACAGATGAATTTTGCAATCGCCCTCTCAGTATAACAAAAATATAAGAAAATATTCAAGATCATTAAGATCATAAATAATGTCCCTTTGGACTAACCAAATTGAGGATAAATATTCTGTTTGAGTGGGGAGGACTAATTAAACTGTGTATTTTGCTCTCACAGCCATCCCTTCTATACGTATTAATTGAGCTTCTATTTTAAAGAAGTCTGTGGAAAACAAAGTAGAGTAAGGCACAGTTTATTATCTTAGAACCTTTCATGTAAAGAGGAAGAACTCAAGCATGTCGATAAAAGATATGTTCATTTCCTGCTGATGTTGTAAAAAATTACCACAAACTTAATGGCTTAAAGCAGTACAAGTTTATTGTCTTAAAGTTTTGGAAATCAGAAATACATTATAAATGGATCGGCAGGTCTGGAGGCAGGTTCCTTCTGGAGGCTCTAAAGATCTATTCATTTCCTTGCCACTTCTACCTTCTACAATTTACCTCCATTCCTTGGCTCATGGTCTCTTTCTCTGTCTTCAAAATCAGCAGCATACCATCTTTTATCTCTGTTTCTGTTGTCACATCTCATTCCCTGACTCTTACCCTCCTGCCTCCCTCTTCTACTGACCCCTGTGATTACACTGGGCCCATCCAGGTCAGCCAGTATTATCCCCTCATCTCACCATCTTTAACTTAATCACATCTGGAGAGTCCCTTTTGCCATGTGAGTAATGTGACACGTGGAATACTTTTGGCGGGGGAAGGAGTATTCTGCCTAGGACATGAGATAGGCTGTCCACCAGTGCTAGAGCACAGACAGAAATGGATATAGAAATATCTGAAGGTGGAAGATGGATTGGAACAGAGGGCTGAGAGAAGCTAGAGCTGAGAGAGGGGGTACCCTGGAACATTTAGCACTCTTTGAATGTTTGGGGCTTGCTAGGGTCATGTGAAGAGAAGTCTGTAGACAACAGACATCACTAATGCCTCCATTATACTTCCCTCAAACTATACTACCCAAAGCAAGGAGATGAAAGATTCAGGTCATGTCTAAGACACAGTGTGTTTGTGAAGATGTTGAACAGGAGACTGAGTTCATCAGATCCCTCTTTTGGGAAGACAACATTGGCAGTAATACAGTTAGGTGATATGTACTCATCCTGATGGGGTACATGAGATGACACACCATCAACTGGGATTGAAAAAAGAAAATTTTTAATTTTTACTTTTACTCATTGTTATGTTCATTTCAATTTAAAATCATGTTTGCTTTATAAGGTGCAAAATTTTAAGTATAGAAAAACATGAATAACATATTTATACATA
Source organism: Homo sapiens (assembly GCF_000001405.40). Lineage (NCBI taxonomy): Eukaryota > Metazoa > Chordata > Mammalia > Primates > Hominidae > Homo > Homo sapiens. The sequence goes on from NC_000016.10 coordinate 76,161,251, forward strand.
TTATATTATACATATTTATATATAAACATTATACAGAATAACATACATACACAGTACATGTATTTTTTTTAACTTCACCTTATGTCTGAATGCCTTCACCCGAACAATAACAATAGCAATGCATTGCCCTTTGAGGTTAGGCATGGCTAGTTCAGGATATGCCTCAGACTGGGGAGAAAGGTTCAATTAGAAACTGTAACAGAAGTTAGAAATCTGATTATTTTATATCTTGTACAACTTTATACATGTAAAAGCTATAGAATTCTGTGAATAATTATATGTTATTCTTTGGACTATGTGTCTGTGGGATGTGGAATCTTGAAACCTTAATGAATGATGGTATAAGTTGAATTAAAACACAGAATACGGAATAAAAAGAAATCAAAGGAGAAAATAATGAATCATAAAATAAGGATCTCAAAGAGTAAATGTGCCATATATTCTCCTTAATCTGCTAACCATAGAGTTTTGGATCATAAAAGGATAATTTAGCTCTGTGGTTTTGCAGCCTAAGTTCCTTTAATCAAGAGATGGAGGTAGTTGAAGAATTGTAATTCTTAGGGCCTGGTACACTTACCATATTTTGATATTTACTTAATCAATGACTGATAATCACCCACCAGTGTTTCCTTATTTGTAAAATAATGGCTTATACTATTTCTCCTCTCATATTGTTATTTCTAGAAACCAGTGAGTCAATAATTATGCATAACATTTTGTTAGTACTCAATAAATATTAGTTATTTAAAAAATAATTTCCAAAAATGTTTAAAAATAACTCTCACACAAAAATAGAGTAAGCACATGCCAAAGATTTATTTATTCTATTAATGAGGGAGAAAGCAAAATGTTAAAGCTCGCTAAAAAGAATTCAAGAGATGGAGCATATACACAAACAGAAATAAAGAGCGTTGTCAAAGATTGCTAAATAGTAGGACAAAACTGGTCAGTGTCCCATAACACAATACAATCTTTTGTTTTGGGGGCTACTAAACAGAAATCACTGGAAGTTCTAACAGATAAAAATCTACAAGTTAACATGAAATTCCATGGAGTCTGGACCCAAATAAATAATAAATAAAGTGTAAAACAGGAGTACAGTCTCCTTTATAATTCATAATTGTTGCTTTGTGACCTGTTATTGTTTCAGTATGACAATAAAATGACACGAAGTCATCTTTTTGCCTTATTTCCAAGTTTTAAATAATAGTATTATCATGTTCACTATGCATTGAGAAAACTGACCTTTAGAAAAGATATGCAACTTATTTTAGGTAAAATGGTTTATAAATGGTGGTTCCAGGATTTCAATATAGGGGAACTTGTATGTCAGTCATTATTAATAGTAGTTGCTGCTGCCATATATTGGGTCTTTCTTTCCTTTTTCCTTCCTTCCTTCCTTCCTTCCTTCCTTCCTTCCTTCCTTCTCTCTGTCTCTCTTTCTTTCTTTCTTTCTTTCTTTCTTTCTTTCTTTCTTTCTTTCTTTCTTTCTTTCTTTCTTTTCTTTCTTTCCTTTCTTTCACAGAGTCTCACTGTTGCCCAGGTTGCAGTGCAGTGGTCTGATCTTGGTCCACGTTGAAGCAATTCTCCTGCCTCAGTCTCCCGAATAGCTGGCACTACAGGTATCCGCCCCCATGCCCAGCTAATTTTTGTATTTTTAGTAGAGATGGGATTTCACCCTGTTGGCTAAGCTAGTCTTGAATTCCTGGCCTCAATTGATTCACCTGCCTTGGTCTCCCAAAGTGCTGGAATTAACAGGCATGAGCTACCATGCCCGGCCTGGGTCTTAATATATTGTCGATTCACCTAAATGTTGTATGTGTATTAACTTATTTAATTCTCACAGGAAACTGAGATAAGTTCTGGTACTATCCCCATTTACTGATAGAAAACTACTGTTTGTCAGCTATATGCGTTAATTAGAATGAAAGAAAGTTAAAACCACTGGAAGTATATATATTGTACTCAGAGATATCAATGTTCATCCGTCTATGCCACTTGATCAGAAAAGCCTGGACCTTGGATTGAAACATAATACTATTATCATAGCTAATTAAATTTACTTTGTCCTGCCAATCACCATGGTGAAGAGACTGGAGAGAATATATAGACTATTTATTTTTTGAGAGTCTTGGCTTAGTGATTCATATTTTCTCCCTTGACTTCCTTCTCTCTTTTTTTTTGAATTCCATTTACTGATTCACGTCATACCAACTTGATTCATGTCTAAGACTTAAAATCATTTCAGAATCTCCACCTTCTCCACCTAATAAGTATACTCAGTTATTGGCTATATTCTAGAGTTGTACTTCTTCAGAGTACTAAAAGCTTAAAATTAATAGTAGCATTTCTTTAACTCAACCTTATTCAATCTATTCCTTTCCAAGACATTCTCTGCATCAGTTATCTCTAATCTCAACTAAGATAGGACAGGGGATGCTGGTGGTGATATGATTCTTAGTATCAGGTTTGAGGTATTTAGAAAAAATTGAACAGTCAAAGGTGCGTGTACCATCTACCTACCTACCTACCTACCTGCCTACCTACCTACCAGCCTACCTACCTACCTATCTACTTGTTTCATTATAAATTATGCACAAATTCTATTGCCCTAAATATTGTGCATATTATAAAATAACAATATATTTGAAATTATAAAGTTAAAATAAACCAACTCTAGTTGATTTTCTTACGCTCTAACTAACCACCTCTGACCAGGGTGTACATATTTCATTTAGGAAACTAAAACTAAACAGCTGTCAGTGTTATCTTTCCAAAAGAGATATCAATGGTGCCATTCTCCTGCTCAGAAATTTTAAACACATCCCATGAACCAAAGTCTCCTGCACTTTATTCTTTCTTACTTTTTATAATAAGGTTCTCTCTACTTGAAAAGCCCTTTTTCTTGCCTGTTTCTCCATAGCCATCTATCAACACTAATTAAACACTCCCAAGGTAACACCTATTCCTTTATTGCGCTTTCCTATCCTGTTCTAATCAATTTCTCTCTTCCCTATTTCTATAGTAATTACTGCCTTTGTTATGATAATATGACAGTTTACACTGCAGTAGAAATAGCACCGTCTTTATCTCTCCAAGAGAACTCCAAGAAAACAGTAGACCATGGCTGAGTCTTCTCTGTTTTCTTAGTAGGACTTTGCAAATAGTGGATGCTTAATAATGGGATATCAAATAAATACCTTCTTTGAGAACAAAAGAGACAGGCTTGAATTAGCTCCTACTTGAGCAAATATTTTTTCATTCACTTCAGATTAAATCTCAGAGATTACCTTTTATGTTTATTTGATGATTCTGATAGGTTTGTTATATTTTGCTGGACTGTGATAGTGGTTTGCAGAGCGATTTACACTATTGCTTACAGATGTGTTTCTATAAATGGGTCAAGATATTATTGAGATAAAAGTTTACACAAGTCTCAATTATTTTCTCCAGGAAATATAATGGAAACACGCTGCATCTAAATTCTCTCTCTATTGCTGTATTTGAAAATATTATGTTTTAAGCACTTTAGTAATTTTTAAAGAGCTTTCTTCTATTTCCACTTGCATAAAAAGAGTAACCACAACCTTTTTGCTTTTTCTAATGGTTTTAAAGTTTAACTTAGACATTCTCATACACCATCATGTTTTCACTTAATGATAAATATTTAATGTTAATGGAAAATAGACATATATTTTGAACATAAACGTGGGAGAAATCTTTAAAAACCAGGGAAAGGAAAAAATTTAAGTTTCTAAAAGTATTTTATTTCTCAAAATGCTTTCCTATTGCCAGTGAATCTGCTTTTAAAACTCTTTACCATACAAAATTACTAATGGATATGTGTTCAGCACAGGAAGTGAGAACTAGAGTAAGCACCTACTTTTGATAAACACCTTTTCAGTTTTAGAGAACAGCTTTCAGTTCCCTTGCATCTAGAGCTGATCTGCTACCTTGAAAATTCCCATGTGGAATTTCCCTACTGTACAGAGTTTTGGCCAACATAGAAGACATGGGTTGTCCATTGGATAGTTACTTAAATATATTAAAAGCTAAAGACTCTTATGATATCAAACTTTCCCCTGGCAGGAGTTCCCCAAAAGACTGGACACACATCTGTTCTTTGAAGAAGAGAATCTGATGGGTCTTTTGTAACCGAAAAATGATGAGAGAGCCTAGACCTTACTAGGCTTTAAGTACACTTAGTTATTGACTTTATTCTATAGTTGTACTTCTTCAGAGTAATAAAAGCTTAAAATTAGGCCGGGCATGGTGGCTCATACCTGTAATCCCAGCACTTTGGGAAGCCAAGATGGGCAGATCACCTGAGGTCAGGAGTTCGAGACCAGCCTGACCAATATGGAGAAACCCCGTCTCTACTAAAAATACAAAATTAGCCAGGCGTGGTGGCGCATCTCTGCAATCCTAGCTACTCGGGAGGCTGAGGCAGGAGAATCGCTTGAACCCATGAGGCAGAGGTTGTGATGAGCTGAGATCGTCCCACTGCACTCTAGCCTGGGCAACAAGAGCAAGACTCCGCCTCAAAAAAAAAAAAAGACAAAAAAAAGGCTTAAAATTAATAGTAGCATGCTTACTTAACAGAGGACATTATCAGACACCACTCAAGGTACTAGAATAGAAATAACCTGGGAATTTTTTGTTTGTTATTCATCATTTCACTATTTTGGGGAGAAAAATAGTCCACTTGAAATGATAGTTTGAGCTGGCCAAGAGCAAGACATAGTGTCACAATCAGAGAGAAAATAAGCGCTGAGATTCCTCAATCCTGCATTGGATCTGCCGGCATCAAAAAAGTCATGAGCATTTTCTTTTAATTTAATTCAATTCAATTTTATTTTAAGTTCCAGGATACATGTGCAGGACACGCAGGTTTGTTACATAAGTAAACGTATGCCATGGTGGTTTGCTGCACCTGTCAACCTGTCACCTAGGTGTTAAGCCCCGCATGCATTAGCTATTTATCATTATCATCAGTGCCTGTGCCTCACCTGGCTTACCAAGAACAGGATACGTGCATGTGAATTTGTGAACTTTATGACTAGAAATGGGGCCATATTCTGCTTGTGGGTACTGATACTAAAATAATTTGGGGTGATTAAATGCCTGATATTAGGGAGCATTGAGAGCCTTTCTTGGTCCTTCACCCTTGTGCAGAGCTGAGCATTGTTAATCCAAAGTCCACTGAAGGACTGAGGACTGAACTGCTACCTCTTCTTTACCTACTCCCTGGTATCAGGAGCTGATTTTATGAACTTCACAGCGCATTTATTTTGGGCCTGACAAATTTATAGAGTGCCTTGGGATGTAAATTTAATTGCCTATCATCTCAAGCTTTGTCATTAGAAAGGTCACCAGAGAAATATACATACAGAAATTCTGAAGTATGAACATTGTGAATCTGAGCTTTTCATTTAACTGAGATTTTATTTTAAGGCCCAATTTTGCTGTGCTATGCCAAAGGCCATTGTAAAACTTGATGGAGAAATCATTTTCTTCCAAAAATGTTATAACATTTAATTGTAATTCTAATTATATTCAATTTAATGGCAATTTTAAGGTATATTTTGAATGGAGGCTGAGAGTCCTTTTTGCTTTACTCCTTGGCAACAGAGGGATTGTGAAACTACCTAAGTTGAATGGCATTTGCAATTATGTACTGACCACTTGCTATGCATGGGACACTAAATTCACTGCCCTGGTTGATGTGAAAAAATGCTTAAATATATGCACTTTAAAGAGTCCCTGCATTTCATATCATAGGAAGGAAAGGTATATAATTGGTAATGTGGTTTTCCTGGACCTCTTACTTATTTATATTGATATGTTATTTCTATTTAATCTGTAGATGGCATTTTCCTTTGTAATTAATTCCTAAAATTTGTGTAAAAGTGTGGTCTATATTTATTCTGCCTCTTTTCTGCTATAATTGCTCTACTAACATTCCTCAATAATTCTTCTTTTCATAGGTAACTATATAGAAATAAAAGTAAATATTATTTTTCTATCTTCAAAGAAAAATCAACATATCCACCTCAGCTTATGTTCACTCATTCACATACTCACGTTTTCATTGTTCAATAAATATTGAATCCTTCTTGCATATATATATATATATATATATATATATATATATATATATATATATAAAATTTACTGAGTGCAAGGAAGAATTAAAATAAGATATGTGGCAAATACCTGCTTTTAAAGAATGCCCAAGGAATGCAGACACTCTAAGATTTGATGAAACATCTAACAAGTACAGAAAATAAAGGTAAATAGTTTTTTGTTTTTTTAAGGATGAGGCAAATTTTGGAAGAGTTTCCCATAAGCTAATGGAAAAGATTGATAGAAGACAGAAAATTGATGTACATATTGAAGAATGTAGCCTTGTAGTATAGTTTGAAGTCAGGTAATGTGATGCCTCCATCTTTGTTCTTTTGGCTTAGGATTGTCTTGGCAATGCAGGCTCTTTTTTGGTTCCATATGAATTTTAAAGTAGTTTTTTCCAAGTCTGTGAAGAAAGTCATTGGTAGCTTGATGGGGATGGCATTGAATCTACAAATTACCTTGGGCAGTATGGCCATTTTCACGATATAGATTCTTCCTATCCATGAGCATGGAATGTTCTTCCATTTGTTCGTGTCGTCTTTTATTTAATTGAGCAGTGGTTTGTAGTTCTCCTTGAAGAGGTCCTTCACATCCCTTGTAAGTTGGATTCCTAGGTATTTTATTCTCTTTGAAGCAATTGTGAATGGGAGTTCACTAATGATTTGGCTCTCTGTCTGTTATTGGTGTATAGGAATGCTTGTGATTTTTGCACATTGATTTTGTATCCAGAGACTTTGCTGAAGTTCCTTATCAACTTAAGGAGATTTGGGGGGAATTTGGATGAATCAGAATTGAAGTGCAAGAAATTACTTGCGCTCCACAATAAGATATGTACCACATATCTTATTTTAATTCTTCCTTGCACTCAGTAAATTAAATAACTTGCAAGAAAATAGGAACAATGCTAGGCAAGGCAGAATTAGAAATAAAGTGGGCAACAGAGAAGTAGGAGCAAAGAAGAGTGTTGGTGTGAAAAGGAGAAGTTATTCAAATGGAAAAAGAAGATTGGAGTGTATTTTGCAAGACTTTGATTCCTAGCTCTTTCAATCATATGGGAAAACAACATTTCTAAAGAATGATGATAAAAGATATCCCATTTCTTATTGTAACAAAACCAACAGAAGTTCTTGGTAGTTCTGTAACGGATTAATAACCACAAGTTAAATTTTGAGAAATCACATGTTTTCTCAAATAGGTTACTAAACATTGAAACTAATGAGGAATGAGGAGCCTCAAATTCCACTGAGCAATACTTTATTATCAATGCTTTACTTATTTTATTTTATTTTTCTGAGACAGAGTCTCACTCTGTCACCCAGGCTGGAGTGCAGTGGTATGATCCCGGCTTACTGCAACCTCCGCCTTCCAAGTTCAAGTGACTCTCCTGCGTCAGCCTCAGAAGTAGCTGGGACTACAGGCACCCGCCACCACACCCGGCTAATTTTCGTATTTTTAATAGTGACGGGGTTTCACCATGTTGGCCAAGCTGGTCTCGAACTCCTGACCTCAGGTGATCCACCCGCCTCGGCCTCCCAAAGTGCCGAGATTACAGGCATGAGCCACTGTGCCCGGCCTGCTTTACTTATTTTTTTTAAAAAGACTAATTCTTGTTTCAATTACAGATCTGATAAAGTAGGAGTGAGCTATGTGACACCTAATTGTTCTTCCTTCTTTTTTATATTATTCTCCTTACTTTATAGCAATTATTATAAAAACCTTAATTTTTATTATAAAAATGAATCATTTTATATGTCTCCTATTTAAAAATGGAACTGAAACATTTTAATCTGGCACACTGTCTTTTCCTTTTTATTAAAAAAGTTGAAAAGTAATGCTTGCTGTGAAAAATTCCAGCAAAATTTGTATTAATGGACCCTGGATTTCTTCTGGCTTATTTTACTTTCTCCTGAATATCCTGTGGGGATTGTATCATCAGGCAAATACTAGAAATACATAAACATATACATTTTGCTTACAGTCCTCCAAGTCAGATATCATCTACTAATGGGCAGCTCAATTCTCCAATGTGTTTGCATCCATCTGGTGCTTTTTACGTTTCTCTGATGTATTTACTCACTGCCATAATTTAGGTGTCAGCATCTGTCTTGAATTATCCACTTTTATCATTCAAATTATTAGGCTGTACGTTAAATGAGCTTCTATTTACATGCAACAGTGATTTGCTTCTACTTTTAAATCCCTTTGGGACTTCAGAGATATATTCTAGAAACTGGTTGTAGACTATGATCCAAATTACTGTTTATGTGTTTCTACTAAAGACAAATGTCATTGCTTAATATTTCTAAGACCAAGTAGTTACATACCAAGATGATCAGTTATAAACCAACCAGAGGAATGCAAACAAGCCAATGGTGAGAAATCAATTAACTAAGATGTTATTAATGTCCTTCAAGGGAATAATATATGTGTAAATATAGGGATTAAAAACCAATTGTTGGCTGGGTGCGGTGGCTCACGCCTGTAATCCCAACACTTTGGGAGGCTGAGGCAGGTGGATCACCTGCCTCAAGAGATCAAGGCCATCCTGGCCAACATGGTGAAACCCCGTCTCTACTAAAAATACAAAAAATTAGCCAGGCGTGGTAGCGGGCGCCTGTACTTCCAGCTACTTGGGAGGCTGAGGCAGGAGAATGGTGTGAATCCGGGAGGCGGAGCTTGCAGTGTGCCGAGATCGAGCCACTGCAGTCCAGCCTGGGTGACAGAGTGAGACTCCGTCTCAAAAAACAAACAAACAAAAACAAAAAACCAATCATGAAGGAATTCAGGAAGGACTACATGTTGAGGAAGTGAGAATGGTTAATGAAGCCCACCCTTTCTTAGTGACTGGCAGTTAAATAAGGCAAGAAATGGGAGAATAAATGTAGTAGACATTGGATCAACTGAACATCTACCTGACTTTTCAAGAAAGGGAGATTTGTTGACCTATGAAGATGAGAGAAACGGCCAGGAAGGTATCCTCAAAGCATGTAGACAGATATGTAATTATTATAGAGAAATCTCATGGAATGATGGAAGGTGGTATGGGTTCAGTGATGTGGGGTAGGAAGGAAAGAAAGGTTATTGAAAGAGTGAAGGTTGATACAGGGAGAGAAAAGATCATAGTTTATGGCTCTGCCTTTTCAAGTAAAAGAATCAAGTCTTCTTCAGGGCTTCAGGTTATAGACTAACATAAAAAAGAGGATATGAAGTAGTTACTTTAGGGTACACTAAATAATATAAAATATGCTAATAAAGAGTTACAAGAGAAATAAAGTTTCAGGAAAGTTAGAGCATATGTTTTTAATAATACCATTCTCTATAATTTTTTTATTACGATAAAAGACATATAATATGAGATCTACCCACTTAAATTTTAAGTCTTTGAGCTAAGTACTGTATTGTTAATGAGAAGCAGAATGTGACATAGAAGATTTCTACAACTTTTTCATCATGACCGCAAGCATATTTCTCCTTTCCCTCACTCCCTGGAACCAATATTCTACTTGCTTTTTCTATGAGCTTGACTATTTTAGATACCTCATGTAAGTGGAATCATGCAGTTTTTACCTTCCTGTCACTGATTTATTTCACTTAGCCTAATATCTGCCAGATTCATCCATGTTGAAGCATATGACAATATTATCTTCTTTTTTTATGCCTGAATAATGTTCCATTGTGTTACAGCTGGTTCTCTGTATCCGTGGTTTCCACATTCATGGATTTAACCAAACTTGGGTCAAAAATATTCAGGAAAAAGTTGTGTATAGTGACTTTCTTTCTTGTCATTATTCCCTAAACAATTCAGTAGAACAACTATTTACATAGCATTTACATTGCATTAGTAGGTTTCATAATCTAGAGATGATTTAAAGTACATGGGAGGATGTGCATACATTATATGCAAATACTGCACCATTTTACAACAGGGACTTAAACATTCTCAGATTTTGGTATCTTTGAATACTGAGGGATAACCATATCTACCACATTTTGAAAAAATCCATTCATTTGTCAATGGATATTTGAGATGCTTCTATCTCTTGGTGATAGTGAATAGTGATGCAGTAAACCTGAGTGTGTAAATATCTCTTTGAAATCCTGCTTTGAATACTTTTGGATAATACTGATATGTGAGATTGCTGAATTATATTGTAATTCTATTTTTAATTTTTTGAGTAATCTCCATACTGTTTTCCATAGCAGCTGCACCATTTTACATTCCCAACAACAGTGAACAAAGGTTCCAATTTCTCCACATCCTTGCCAGTGCTTGTTATTTTCTAATTTCTGTTTTTCGATGTTTGTTTTTCATAATGGCCATCCTAATGGGTGTGAGGTGATGCTTCACTGTGGTTTTGATTGGCATTTCCAGGATGATTAGTCATGTTGAGTATATCTTCATATACCTGTTGATCATTTATATGTCTTCTTTGAAGAAATGTCTATTCAAGTCCTTTGTCTATTTTACAATAAATTATTTTGCTGTTGAGTTGTAAGAGTTCCTTATATATTTTGGATATTAACCCTTTATCAAATATATGGTTTGCAAATATTTTCTTCCATTCTGTAGGGTGCCTTTTCATTCTGTTGATTATTTCCTTTGCTGTGTAGAACATTTTTAGTTTGATGTAGTCCCGCTTGTCTATTTTTGCTTTTATTACTTGTGCATTTGGGGTTGTAGCCAAGAAATCATTGCAATACCAATGCTATAAAGCTTTTCCTCTATGTTTTCTTCTAGCAATTTTAGTTTCAGGTTTAAATCTTTAATCCATTTTCAGTTGATTTTGTGTATGGTATAAGATAAGGGTCCAATTCATTCTTTTGCATGTGAATATGCAGTATTCCTAACACCATTTGTTGAGGAGAATATCCTTTCCCCATTGCATAGTCTTGACACCTTTGTCAAACATCATTTAACCATATACATGTGGGTTTACTTTTGGGCTCTTTATTCTGTTTCATTGGTCTTCATATCTGTCTTTATTCCAGTGCCATACTGTTTTGATTGTTGTAGATTTGTAATATGTTTTGAAATAAGGAAACTCTTTTGGCTATTTGGGGTTCTTTGTGGTTCCATATAAATTTTAATTTTTTTTTCTATTTCTGTAAAAAACACCATTGATATTTTGATAGGGATTGCATTGAATCTGTAAATTGCTTTAGGTAGTATGAACATTTTAACAATATTAAGTATTCCCATTCATGAGCATGGCATGTAGTGATGTTTATTTATGTCTTTTTAAATTTCTTTCAGCAATGTTTTTTGGTTTTCAGTATACAAATCTTTCACCTCTTGGTTAAGTTTATTCCTAAATATTTTATTTCTTTTAATGTTATTGTAAATGGTATTGTCTTCTTTCTTTTTAATTTTTTTATTTCAATAACTGTAGTAATTCAAGTGGTTTTTTGTTATATGGATGAATTTTATAGTGGTGAAGTCTATGATTTTAGCGTACCTGTCACCCAAGTAGTGTACATTATACTCAATAGGTAGTTTTTTATCCTTCATCCTCTTCCACTCGTTCCCCTTCTGAGACTCCAGTGTTTATTATACCAGTTTGTATGTCTGTGCGTACTCATAGCTTAGCTCCTACTTATAAACGAGTGCATGTGGTATTTGGTTTTTCGTTCCTGAATTACTTCACTTAGAATAATGGCCTCTAGTTCCATCCAAGTTGCTGCAAAAGATATTATCTCATCCTTTTTATAGCTGAGTAGTATTCTATGGTGTGTGTATATATATATATGTATGTGTGTGTGTGTGTATATATATATATATATATATATATATATATATATATATATATATATCACATTTTCTTTACCCATTCATAGATTGGTATGCCCTTAGATTGATTCCATATCTTTGCAATTGTGAATTGTGCTGCAGTAAACATATGTGTGCAGGCATCTTTTTGATATAGTGACTTCTTTTCCTTTGGGTATCTACCCAGTAGTGGGTTGCTGCATTGAATGGTAGATTACTTTTAGTTCTTACTAAAAGTTTCTCCATACTGTTTTCCATAGAGGATGTACTAATTTACATTCCCACCAGCATGTATAAGTTTTCCTTTTCACCACATCTATGCGAACATCTATTGTTTTTTGACTTTTAATAGTGGCCTTTCTGGCTGGGGTAAGATTGTATCTTACTGTACTTTTAATTTGCCTTTGAGATTGTTTTCATAATTTTCTTTTCAGACTATTCAGTGTTAGTGAATAGAAACACAATTAATTTTCATACATCTATACAATTTTTGACCTTAAAAATCTTTTGAGGCATAGAATTAAGAGAAGAAAATCAGAAATTACAAAGATTAGGTGGGACATATAGAGGAAGATTAGTTTCAGCACAAAATCGGTACAGATGTGGGAGTCTAACAGGTCATATAAGCTGTAATGTCATGGATAATCAGATTAAGGCCTTCAACAATGAGTTCATTCATCTTCCCTGGGTACCTGCAGTCTACTACTACGTGACAGGTAGGGTGATGTGCATTCAAAACACAATGGTGAAAATTCCAAGGACAGGAGGTAAGACTAAGTATTTGAATCTCTCAGCGACTTGAGGGAATTGTAGTACAGCTGAAATACAGTGTTCAGTCAAGGCAATAGAAAGTTTCAAGAAGAGTCAGATCAACACTGCCATGTTCTGAAGACATATTAAGGTAAATTAAGGGAGCATGGCCATTGTGTTAGTGATGAGGCAGACATTGGTGGCATTGGAAAAAGCAATTTCATTGGACTTATTTTGGGTGTGAAGCTGTGTTACAGAAGTTGGGGCAGTTAAATAAAAGGAGAGGAAATAAATGGAGAACTGAGCCAGAATCAGATTAAGAACTTTAGCACCTGTAAGCATTTGAAAGCCTATAGAGCTCACTCTCTAAAAGGTTATTCTGAATAAAATTTTATTTTTCAAAATGACGTAAAATGTACATGTTTTCTGGAGTTAGAATAGCTTTTTTGTACATCATCTAATGACACAATTATGCATGAGTACATTGTGACTGGCTTTGATATTTTTCTGCCTTTGCTTTGCTGATGTCATGGGACTCAGTGCTCAGTATGTGTGCGGTGGTCCAGCACCCATAGAGACCCACTTCAGGGAACTAGACTTTAAAGGAGGGGAAGAAGATGGATTGAAAGTCAGCTGAAAAGTCAGGACTGAGGGATCTGGGGGAGGAAGGGCAAGGTGTTATTCTGTTTTATATTGGGAGAATGCTCAAGAATATCCAAATGTTGAAGAAATGCAATTTGTAAACATTAAACACTTTGGCCAGGCATAGTGCTTCATGCCTGTAATCCCGGCACTTGGGGAGGCAGAAGCAGGAGGATCACTTGAGGTCAGAAGTTCAAGACCAACCTGGGGAACATAACAAGCCCTTATTTCTACAAATAATAATTTTAAAGCATTAGCTGGACACGGTGGTGTGTGCCTGCAGTCCCAACTAGCTGGGAGGCTGAGGTGGGAGGATCGCAGGAGCACAGGAGTTTGAGGCTGCAGTGAGCCATGACTGCACCATAGCACTCCAGCCTGGATGACAGAGTGAGACCTCATCTCAAAAAAAAAAAAAAGAAAAAAATACATTTGGATATACATAAGAGAAGGCACAATTGATGATGCAAAGTTTGCTGAAAAGTTGGAAAAGATAAAATTGGGACATAGATGAAAGAATTAGCATCGGGCATGAGGACAACACTCTCTCCCTAGGAAGTACAGTGGCAACCCTGAGGTGTCCACCCATAATATGTGTTCAAGGCAAATCAGCATAATGCAACAATACAGAGCATCCAGTGGTTTAAGCATGTATATGTTCCAGCCAAGCTCATATAAGTGTGATTTGTGTAAACTGTAAAACAAACACATACAAATATATTCATTTTTTAAGCAAAACACATTACATTTTGAGGCATTTTCTCAGAGAAATCAGTTGAACTAGACTTTATGTTCACTTAGAAAATGTAAAATAATAGCGGGCAATTTTTTAATGTGTGCCATGTGCATTAGTCTGTTGTCACGCTGCTAATAAAAACATACCTGTGACTGGGTAATTTATAAAGACAAAGAGGTTAACGGACTCAGAATTCCACCTGGCTAGGGAGGACTTAAAATCATGGCATAATATGGAGGAGGAACAAAGGCATGTCTTTACATGGAGGCAGGCAAAAGAGTGTGTGCAGAGGAACTGCCCTTTATAAAACCATTCAATCTCGTGAGGCTTATTTACTATCATGGGAGCAGTATAGGCAAAACCTGCGCCCATGATTCAATTATGTGCCACTGGGTCCCTCCTATGATATGTGGGGCTACAATTAAAGATGAGATTTGGGCAGGGACACAGCCAAACCATATCACCATGTACCAGACACTCTGCCAAGTACTCTACAATTATTATCTCATTTAATTTTTATGACAAGCCTTATGGGTTAGATATATTAATATTGCCAAGGGTCACGTACCCAGAAAGTAAACCCCTTGACTGTAAAGCCCCTACTCTTAGCCACAGTAACATACTGTTTACTCATTTACCACGTAAAAAGTAGGATTAAACATAACAGAAATAGTTCATGTAACCAGTTCTATCATCACTAGACCACAAGGCAGAGGACCAATGTAAATTAAGAAAGACTTGATTATACATTATCAAAACTCAGTAACTAAGCTGTAGATGTTGATGCGATGCTTTATAAGCAACTGATATAGACCAATTTAACAAGTGATTTTTTTTGTGGTAAGTAACAACCGTATAAAATAATGAAGTGACACTTATCACAAAAATATCTGCTAAAATTCATGAAGAAGAATGTTGAAAAGGACTATGCAAAAACTCAAAAGCATATAGATGATGTCATGTGCCCAGCACTCTGTATACCCTGAGGTTTTCTCTGCAGGAACTGCTCTCTCGCTTCCCTCTTTGTCCTCTTGGTCTAGCTCACTGATGTTTCCTGTCTTGTCTGGCCACTTAAAAGCCATCGGTTCTAGAGTTGTATTCCATTGTGCCTGCCACTCTGTTCACAGTAAACTCTGAAATCCATACACCTCTTGCACGGATATACCTGAATATCAGGAGTGATTTCTATTCAGCCTCTAACTTGGAGGCCTGTTATGTATAGTTTTATTTAGGCATACGCCATTTCTGGGAAGGAATGCCTACTGTTTTCATTTTCATTTTCATTTTACAGTTGAGAAAACTGAATCTGGGAGTGATTATTCCCCCCAAGGTCTGACCCAGAATGACTAGTGTTGATGGGGTTTAAATTCCTGTTTACTAATAACAAAGTCAAAGCCTTCTATGGGATAATATTACCTGGATATTGCATTCTCCCAGGACAGCTTGGTGGCACAATGTAGATTGCTTTGTTGATCTCATTCATTCAGATAGTAATTCCCGAGTTTGACAGGTAAAGATGCTGAGCTGTGAAGAGTGATGGAAGCAATGTGTGCGTATCGGTAAGGGCACAGATGGCTGCTGAAAATTATAAAATCAAGGTGCCAGGGATTATGAAGAATCATACACCGAGTATGCCAGTTCTGGCTATTCTTAAACATTAGAAACTTATGATGAATATATGAATGCATGACACTCCCTTGATCTTATTTTTTTTACTATCATATTACCATAAAATACTCCTGGCATCTGACTTACCATAAAATCTCAATAGATTCCAGTGTTATAGAATACATATAGAAAAATATTATTAATGAAAAACCACAATGACACAATAAAACATCACTAATATAGTAGCAAATTTCTTTTGGGTTATAAAAGAGCCCATTAAAGCATTTTGACTATGCTTTCTGTTGCTATGTTTTTACTTTATTTTTCTACAATTACAAAGAGAAGAAACTACTATTACCACCTACTTGAGAGGCTAGAAAGAAAAATATGTGACAGATTTTCTTCTCTTTTTTTCCATATGCAACATGCCAGTTTTATATGATTTCTGTAGATTATTGCATTGTTGTTAAAACTTTTTCTTATAAACCATTGCAAAATTATCACACGATACAAAAATGTTAATTCAAAAGAAACGAAAAGCACTAATATTACCCAGTCCATAAACTTCCTAGTTGATCTCTTTTTATTCATTTAAACAAAGTCAAGTGTTTTTTTTCTTCCTTATTATTAGTTATATGGTTAATAAGTCAGTCACACAGTTCTGAAAAGGTCCATAGAAAAACATTCCTTCATGTTGAAGGTGATGCACTAATTATATGTACTTCTTGCCCTCCATCTGAAGCAGCTACGTGGATACAGATTTTAGACCCTTAGGCTTCAATTAAAATATTCAGTATTCAATAATATTTATTGAAACAATTTTAAGGTAAGAAAGTCCCTTTTAATGTCTTTCTGTAAATGGGAGATAAAATGTATCAGCTCAGTTATTAATTGGTAAACCACAAGGTAGTTAACTCTATGAGATTCAATTTTTTTTTTGCACAAGAATAGCCTAATAGTTTGTTCCGAGGGCTGTATTAGGCAAAGAGTTCTCAGATATGACACTAAAAACACAATCCATAGAAGAAAAATGACTAAATCTGACTTCAGACTTTAAGGAGTAAGACAAGTAACAGATAGGAATAAACTATTTGTAAATTGTTTATCTGATAAATGATTTGTATCAAGAATATCTAAAGAACTGTCATAACTCAACAATCAAAAAACCAAAATATTCCATTTAAAAATTGGGGGAGAAAGGAAATGGAGAGTGACTGTTAATAGGTACATGGTTTTCTGGGGAGATGATAACATGTTCTGAAAATAGATTATGACGATGGTTGCACTAGTATGTAAATGAGTTGCATACTTAATGGATGAACTTTATCATGTAAATAACATTTCAATAAACTGTTAGAAATGGGCAAAATATTTGAATAGACATTTCATAAAAAAGATACGTGAATGACAAATAAATATGAAAAGATATTAAACAAATTAGTCATTAGAAAATTGCAAATTAAAACTGCAATGAAATAACACTTTATATTCATTATAACAAGCATTGACAAGCATGTGGAGAAAATGGAATTTTGAAACATTACTTTTGAAAATGTAAAATGGTGCAACTATTTAGTAAAATAGTTTAACATTTTTTAAAAAGTTAAATAAGAGGTTGAGCGCAGTGGCTCATGCCTGTAATTCCAACACTTTGGGAGGCAGAAGTGGGTTGATCACTTGAGCCCAGGAATTTGGGACCAGCCTGGGCAAAATGGTGAAACCCTGACTCTAAAAAAATGCAAAAATTAGCCTGGCACCTGTAGTCCCAGCTACTTGGGAGGCTAAGGCAGGGGGATTGCTTCAGCCAAGAGGTCAAGATTGCAGTGAGCTGTGATTGTGGCACTGTACTCTAGTCTGGGTGACAGAGCAAGACCCTGTCTCAAAAAAAAAAAAAGTTAAATAAGAACATATACAACCCGGTGATTCCATCTTAGGTATCTGCCCAAGAGAAATTAAAACGTGTTAACTAAAGACTTGTATTTGAATGTCCATAGCAGCATTATTCCTAATAGACAAAAGGTGAGAACAATAAAAATTTTCATTAACTGATGAATGGATACACAAAATAATGGAAACTAAATACTAATACATGCTAAAACATGAATGAACCTCAAAACATTATGATAAGTAAAAATAAAACCAGGCCCCAAAAGAGTACGTGTTGTGTGATTCCATACATAAAATACCTAGAAAAGTCAAATTTATACAGACAACATCCGATTCGTGACTGCCTGGGCTTGGGTGGAAATAGAGATTGAATGCAAATGGGTGACATTTTCAGGTGACAGAAATGTTCTAAAACTGGATAGTGGAATGGTTGTAGGTCTCTGGAAATTTATGAAAAATAATTGAATTGTGCATTCAAAATATGTGAAATTTAACAGCATGTAAATGACACTTCAATAGACATGTTTTCAAAAATTAAAAAGGAAATAAAAATAAACTGGAAGAATTATTTAAAACATTTACCAGGAAAAGTATTCATCATATAATTTTGTAGGTATTTAGAAGAAAACTTCACTGTAATTCAAAAATCTCTCTCTGTATGTGTATATGTGTGTGTATGATTAATAGTTTTATGCTAATATGTTATTACTCATACATTTCTACAGTAGTACTGCTAGTTAAATAATGGAAACCTCTTAAGAATAATTACAAACTAGAGTGAGTTATTTTTAAAGTAATGAATTCAGAAGATCTTATATCATAGTATTGACCACTTACCATCCTTGTCATATAACCATTGGGTTGGTAGAATGATCAATTAAGCATCCTCCTGAACATATTTTCAGGGTTACGGGTTAAGTAATTTCTATTATTTTTTAAAAAAGTATCTATATACACCAACTATGTACCCCCCAAAATAAAATAGAAAAAAAATTAAAAAATAATAAATACCTGTTTATCAAAATGAGATTGCTCATTTTTCTTTTATTCTTTATTGTTAATGGTAAGAAGGATAAAAATTTGGAAGACATTGTGTTCATAATTAAGTATTCTTCTTCCTTGAATTGTATTTTACTTCTGAAATTAATTCCTGTGAGATGTCAAGAATAGCTAAGAGTAGACATGTGTAACAAAAATGTAATCTTGGTGATTTTCTGAGACCCAAGAGACTGCTTTGGAAGGCTTTAGAGGTCATTCTCAAGGTGAGGAGAAAGGATCTGATGCTGAGAGCCCCATCTTGAGCCATGTGGAGAACTCATACCTACAGTGCCTGTGGTTGTGTGTCAGAAGACTATGGAGGAGGCATGTGTATTAGTTCTCCCACTGCTATAAGGACACACCTGAGACTGGGTAATTTATAAAGGAAGGAGGTTTAGTTGAGTCACAGTTCCACAGGGCTGGGGAGCCCTCAGGAAACTTACAATCACCATGGAAGGGGAAGCAAACATATCCTTCTTCACATGGTGACAGGAAGGAGAAGAATGGGTGCCCAGCGAAGGGGGAAGCTCCTTATGAAACCATTAGATCTCATGAGAACTAACTCACTATCATGAGAACAGGATGGGGAAAACTGCCCCCATGATTCAATTATCTCCACCTGGTCCCTCCCATGACATGTGGGGATTATGGGAACTACAATTCAAGATGAGATTTGGGTGGGGACACAGCCAAATGATATCAGAATATAATTTGACACGTCTCATAAACTATGCCTTCCCTTTGCAACCACCACTCTATCTCTGCTTATCTAATTTTTCAAAAAGTGAAAATAATCCATCTTATCGGGAACATTTCATTATTCCCCTTGGGAGAAAAGTCCCATTGTTTTCTTGTTATAATGGCAACCCAGAAATACCCTAGAAATGTATGGTCTATTGAAATGCTTCTGGGATTGAGTATTCCACGTGGTACAGTCTATGCCTCCACATATCACTGCTTCTCCTAACATCCTTTTCTTAAGCTGATGAACTTGCAAGTCAATTGTGTGTGCTTTGGTGACTTTCTAACATCAACAATACATATTCCTTAAAAAGTTGATAGCTAAATATACCTTAACTTTATAGTGAAAGGGCACATTATCGAAATTGGGTAGTACATCTATTTTATGAAGTTTGTTAGAATTCTATAAGAATAGAAGAACATTTTCGTGAGCCAAAACTATTTTGTATGCAATTTTCTGGCAATTTTCTATTATGTGTAGATGTGCTGTATACAATGAGTAAGAATAGCAGATTCAGCTAAATTCTTGCTAGGATAACATAACAGGGCCCATCAGTCACTATGCTTTAATTGCTGCAGGTAACAGCCACCTAAGGCAGGAATAAATTATGCCCAATTGTTAAGAGCAATTATATGCCTTATCAGCTGGTCAGCAACAAGAGACTGGAATATATGGACCATTAATCTGTATGTGAGCAGCTGTTGTAATGTCCCTCCCAGAAAGAAAGTGAGAGACCTCTTGGCCTACCTTGTCAATCACCGGCAAATTAAAAACAACTTAACTGTCATATTCTATATTTATGTATTACAGATCTTTTTTTTAGGGAAGATTAGCTTGGATAATACATGTGCATTATCTTTAAAACCAATCAAGTTTTAGAGCCTTTGCCCTCCATATTTTCTCATATTCTGTAACTGAAGCATTTTAGGGAAAACAGGGCTTAAACATAGGAGATTCTACAAGCCATCATAGACCTTTATTCTTTATTTTCCTATATTGGTTTGCTTACTTTTGTATTTCAGCCTTGATCCTAAGAACATAAGAAATCGATTAAAAATATAACTAAACAAATACATACTTTAGGGATGATGGTGGTACATATTCTATTTTAAATACATATTTTAGGAAAAATGGAAACATATAGGTAGAAAAAAATGATGAAACCAAGGAGGATAGTTGCTAAATTTATTAACCAAAGTTCTGTATATTTTCTAAGTTTTCAAATTATATTTTAGAAAGTTTACCATAAACTGACATGATTTTACAGCAGCAAAGGCAAGGATAGAAATGATTCATACTGTCTTTGTGACAAAAACAATCAGATGATAGGAAAAACACAGTATCTAATATTGCCACTGGAAAGAAATTCATCATGAAGAAACCATTGTGTTATGTAGTGAATAACATCATCAATAGCATTCTTATCTGTGAATACTGAGAGCATCCTGACTTTCTTATATTTTTATTTCTTATAACATCACTCAGTCAGGAGATGGCATACTACCAAAAAGTTGTTAGGTAAAATAATTGGTTCTAGGGAACACCTGGAAGGCAGACCATGTTTCTAATGTACTGTAAGGGAAGGAATTGGCAAAAAGAACCTCAGTAATGCATGTTGGCTAAGTATTACAAGGAAAATATGAGCTCAGGGAAGGACTGGCTGTTGCCCATGCAGAAAAAGACTGTGTATTACACGGATAGGAGCTGAATCTAGGGGCTGAGTGACCTTTATGTTGACCCCTTTGGAAAGAATGAGGTTTTTTTTTAATGTTTGTGAGGAAGAGCCAAGTGGGTAATTGAATGTGAAAAATATGGACTGTGGCAGAAACTGGCAAGATAATCCCTGATCACATTGTTTCTAAAAATATGGGAAGAGCAGCGTGTTGCAATCTCCTATGCAGGAAGAGTGTAGCCATGGGACTAGTTCTGGACAGTGGAATGTAGCAAGAGGTAATACGTATCATTTCTAGGCACTGGCCCTGAAATATTTTGTGTGAGCCTATGCAAGCACTTCCTGTCTCCTGTTTCTGTTGTCCATATCCTTTAAGGTGGGCACAGGTGAAAGAAGCCTGGATAACTGAGAAATCATATAGGAGGGGATAGCCAGCCAATGCACATCCAATTGCAATGTGAGTTGGAGGGGATTACCTTGACTAATTCAGGTAATTTAAAAAATAGTTGTACTAAGAAGAAATAAACCAGAGGCAAAATTTATCAATCCTCATGTAGTTTATTATCATTATTTAGTCTAACATTATTTATCACTTTTTTTTATGTGAGGTGTTATTTCAAACTTACTTTAAATTTTCTTCCCTCTATCATCATCAGAGTTTTCTGTGGTTTCAATATTTGGAAGGAACAGATATTTGAAGTGACCTATACAAGTCACAGGCTCCAACAGAAATTATCTGTTGGCTTGCCTTTTTTTTAAAGTACAGATTGATTTGGTAGCTTTTTGATGGTGTCAATTATTGTGTTCTATTATTAAATATTATATACTATATTATATTTATAATTATATTTTCCTACATAACAATCCATTTCATCAACATTTTCAAGCTTATTTGCACAGAAGTTAAGCAATGTATTGTTGCCACACAGTATGTGATGAACATTTTGACTGGAAAGGCCTGCCTTTGCCATTTTTAAGTGGAGTCTCACTCTGTCACCCAGGCTGGAGTGTAGTGACATGATCTCAGCTCACCGCAACCTCTGCCTCCCGGGTTCAAACGATTCTCTTGCCTCAGCCTCCCAAGTAGCTGGGACTACAGGCTGCTGTAGTAGCCACCACACCCGGCTAATTTTTGTGTTTTTAGTAGAGACAGGGTTTCACCATGTTGGCTGGGCTGGTCTTGAACTCCTGACCTCAGGTGATCTGCTCGCCTCGGCCTCCCAAAGTGCTGTGATTACAGGCGTGTGCCACTGCACCCAGCTGCCATTTTTTAATCTGTATAAAATTGGTAGGCCACTTGAATCCTGGAGTGACTGAAAATGTCTTTGTTCCTCAGTTTCTTCACTTTTGATAAATAAGGGTAACATTAATAATCTATCACATTTATTATGAAATTAAATACACATATAAAGTGCTTAGAACCCAGTAAAAGGTTACTATATTTTAAATGGTATTACTATGCCTTAACATCTGTTCTGGTTTTTCTATTTGTGTGCCTTGTTGTGTACATTTGCTCTTTTTCCATTTAAAAAAATGTATCTACATATCTTCATGTGTACATATGTTTGTATGTATTTATACTGGAGTCATTTCCCATTCCCACAGCTACTTGTCTAGCCAGATGGAAGCACTTCTTTCACAGCCTGTGGCAAACGGTGGATGGGTTGGGAGTGGATGTAGGGGGATGTTGACAGGGGAAGAAGCAGAATGTTTGGTTTGGCTGGCAGGTCCTATTGTGGGTTCCTTACTGATTCCCACTGATCTTTGAATCCTTGAATTGGGGAGGATACACTTTTGGTGGAGCAGGCTAAAAGAGAAATAGGAGAATGTGACAAAGATGAGCTACACTTAAGATGAACTACACTTAAGTTTTAGAATTTGAATAGCATAAATTCTTAAGATGCATGTTAGAGAAAGAGTAATTGGAGGGAAGAGAGTATGAGATATTAAAAGTGGCTCGGTGCAGTAGCTCATGCCTGTAGTCCCAGCACTTTGGGAGGGCAAGGAGGGTGTGTTGCTTGAAGCCAGGAATTCGAGATCAGCCTGGACAACATGGTGAAACTTCATCCTACCAAAAATACAAAAATCAGCCAGGTGTGGTGGCATGCACCTGTAATCCCAGCTACTCTGGTGGCTGAGACAGAAGAATCACTTTAACTCAGGAGGCGGAGGTTGCAGTGAGCCGAGATCGTGCCATTGCACTCCAGCCTGGGTGACAAAGTGAGACCCTATCTCAAAAAAAAAAAAAAACAAAGAAAGAAAGAAAGAAAGAAAGAAAGAAAGAAAGAAAGAAAGAAAGAAAGAAAGAAAGAAAGAAAGAAAGAAAGAAAGAAAAAAGATGTTAAGGTCTACGGTGATGGGTTTGGATTATTGGTATTTTAAGAATAACACATTTAATGAACTACAGTCTTCATTGAGAAATTAAAAACAAAAATCACTCTAATTTGTCTTCGTTGGTAATGATACACAAAACAAAGTATTTTAAGAAGTAAGAGTTTTTATAAAGATCAGGACAACAAGCTCTCTATAGTAGTAAGATAATATTAAAAATTGATAGAATATTTCCAGCTCTCTATTTATTATCTGTATAACCTTAAGCAAGTCCTCTAACATCTCTGAGTCTTTCTCTCTTCATTAGCAAAAAAGTAAAACTAACAATTTTAATGGAATCTTGAGTCACTATATAAAAGTACTATATATGGTACCTAGAGGACAATAGGAGTTTAATACATATTATGTTAGTACTGTTTTCCTTTCTTGATTATCCTTATCTTTTATAGATAAAATAAAAATGAATGTAATGAACAAAACTTAGTTGTATTATATATTGTAGGAATGTGTAAGAAAATAATTAGTGAGCTATTAATGAAATTATTATTCCAACTGAAATAGAGACCATGGCATAAACGCTGAAAGGCAGAAACTATATAAAAACAATTAGTGGGCCAGGCACATTGGCTCACGCCTGTAATCCTAGCACTTTGGGAGGCCAGGGCGGGTGGATCCGCTGAGGTCAGGAGTTCAAGACCAGCCTGGCCAACATGGTGAAACCCCATCTGTACTAAAAGTACAAAAATTAGCTGGGTGTGGTGATGTGTGCCTGTAATCCTAGCTACTTGGGAGGCTGAGGCAGGAGAATCACTTGAACCTGGGAGGCAGAGGTTGCAGTGAGCTGAGATCACACCATTGCACTCCAGCCTGGGCAACAAGAGCGAAACTCCATCCCAAAAAAAAAAAAAAATTAGTATGTGGTTACAGGCAGGGTTTTAGTTTGTTTTTCAGATTCAGAATGTATGAATATGCATAAGGCCATCAATATCTGAAAATAATATATGTAATATATATTTATATATTATATATAAATTATATATGATTTATATATTATTAAATATAATTTATATATTTATGTGTGTGTGTATATATATATGTGTGTGTATATATATATATGTGTATGTGTATATATATATATATATATATATATATATATATATATATATCAGTTGAAGTATGTTTTCCATAAAGAAAACAATTGTAGGCTGACACAGTGGCTCATACCCATAATCCCAGCACTTTGGAAGGCCAAGGTGGGTGGATTGCTCAAGCCTAGGAGTTCAAGACCAGCCTGGACAATATAGTAAGACCCTGTCTCTACAAAAAATACAAAAACTAGCTGGGTGTGGTGGCACATACTTGTAGTCCCAGATACTCAGGAGGCTGAGGTGGGAGGATCACTTGAGCCCAGGAGCTGGGGGTTGCAGTGAGTCAAGATTATGCTATTGCATTCCAACCTGAGCAACAGAATGAGAAGACTGTCTCGAAACAGAAAATATAAATGCAATTGTAGTAATAGAATACACAGAATCTTTTTTGGGAGAAAGCATTCTGAATAGAAAAAAAATCTGTCAGAAATATTTTAGGTACATAGAATTTTCCAAAATAACTTTTTAATATATAATTTCTAAAACTGTATTATAGTAAATGTATATTTACTTACATAATTTTAAGTGATATACTAAAGTGAAAGGAAAATAAGATAATTTAGTTATCAAATCTCTTTTATTATATCTTTAAAAAAGTGGTATATTCACTGGCATTTATAGTTTTTCTTTCAGTTTGTGTTATTCAGCCTTTTTTTCTTTCAATTTATTAAGGTTTAACTGACATAAAAACTGTATTTATTTAAGTTGTACAACATGATGTTTTGCTATATGTGTACATTGTACAATTATTACATCATGCTAATTAACATATTCCTCACCTCATATACTTATTTTTTTGTGGTGAGAACATTTAAGATCTACCATATGAGGAGAGAGTTTCAAGATGGCTGACTAGATGCATCTGGGAAGTGCCACACCCACTGAGAGAGACCAGGATTTTGGCTAAACCAACATAATTTGAACATATCTTTGGAGAGAAAATGCCAAGTGTGGATGGAGAAAAGAAGTAAACCTGAGGCTGAAGAGGGAGGGAACTGAGGTGCTTGAACACTATGGCTGGTTCCTAGCCCTTAACAGTGCCTGCGGAAGAGATGAGTGAAGAGACTGGGGTAGGCTTCCCACTCTCACTGTGGACCTCTGGGATCCTAGCTACAGGGAAACCCACACCCACCATGGACATGTGAGCTTGTAGGATCTCCCTAGAGATTAGATAGAGATGGGTCTTCAGCAGGCATAGTGCCAGGGACACCAAAAAACTGCTAATTCTCTACCCTGTGAAACCAAGGGCAAGAATCTAACAACAAAGACCCTGTATAGAGACTTAGCCCTCTGAAAACTCCCAGAAATGAAGCCACCAACTGACTACTCGATTTACACCACAGTTAAATGAACACCAACCCTCCTAGATAAGAAAAAAATCAGTGCAAGGACTCTGGCAATTCAAAAAGCCAGAGTATCTTCTTACTTCCAAACTAGCCCAATCACTCCCCAGCAATGGTTCCTAACCGGTCTGAAATGACTGAAATTACAGACATGGAATCCAGCATCTGGATGGCAAGGAAGCTCATGGAGATCCAGGAGAAAGTTGAAACTTAATCCAACGGAGCCAAGCAATCCAGTGAAATAATTCAAGTGCTGAGAGACAAAATAGCCATTTAAAGAAAGACCTAAACTGAACCTCTTGAGCTGAAAAATTTACTACAAGAATTTCATAATACAATCCGAAGGACTGACAGCAGAATAGACAAAGTTGAGGAAAGAATTACAGAACGTGAAGACCAGTTGTTCAAATCAACTCATTCAGACAAAAATAAAGAAAAAAGAGTTAAGAAAGATGAACAAGGCTCTGAGAAATATGGGATTATGTAAAGAGACCAAATCATAAGTCACTGGCATCCCTGAGAGAGAAGGAGAGAGAATACGCAACTTGGAAAATATATTTGAGGAAAGAGTCCATGAAAATTTTTCTAATTCTGCTAGAGAGGTTGACAGGCAAATTCAAGAAATACAGAGAACCCCAGCTAGATACTATACAGGATGACTATCCCCAAGGTCCATATAAATCAGATTCACCAAGGTCAACACAAAAGAAAAAATCTTAAAGGCAGCTAGGGAGAAGGGTCAGGATATACACAGGGAACCCCATCAGACCAGCAGCAAATTTCTCAGCAGAAATCTTATCAGCTAGAAGAGATTGGGGATCTATTTTTAGCATCCTCAAAGAAAACAAATTCTAATAAAAAATTTTATACCCTTGCCAAACTCAGTTTCATAAGTAAAAGAGAAATAAAATCCTTCTCAGAAAAGCAAATGATGAGGGAATTTGTTTCAACTAGACCAGTCTTACAAGAGGTCTTTATGGGAGAGCTAAACATGGAATTAAAAGAACGGCACCTGCTACTATAAATAATTAAGTGCAAAGCCTGTAGTATAAAGCAACTACACAACCAAGTCTACAAAATGGCTTATAACATGATGACACAGGCAAACTCTTACATATCAATACTAGTGCTGAATGTAAATGAACACCCCATTTAAAAAACACAGAGTGACAAGTTGCATAAAAAGACAAGACCAAGCCATCTACTGTCTTCAAGAGAACCATTTCACATGTAGCAACACCAACAGGCTCAAAATAAAGGTTGAAGAAAGATCTACTATGCAAATGGAAAAAAAAAGAGTAAGAGTCACTATTCTTATGTCAATTAAATGGGCTTTAAACCTTTAAAAACTAAGAAGGAAAAAAGGAGGTCATTATGTAATGATAAAGGGTTCAATTCAACAAGAAGGCTGAACTATCCTAAGTATAAACACATCCAGCATTGGAGCACCCAGATTCATAAAACAAGTTCTTTGTGACTTACAAAGAGACTTAGCCACACAGTATTAGTGGGAGACTTCAACACCCCACTGACAGTGTTAGACAGATCATTGAGGCAGAAAACTAACAAACAGCTGGGCACAGTGGCTCACTCCTCTAATCCTAGCACTTTGGGAGGCCGAGGTGGGTGGATTAGGAGGTCAGGAGATCAAGACCATCCTGGCTAACACGGTGAAACTCCGTCTGTACTAAAAATAGAAAAAAAAATTAGTCAGGTATGGTGGCATGCACCTGTAGTCCCAGCTACTCGGGAGACTGAGACAGGAGAATCACTTGAACCCGGGAGGTGGAGGTTGCAGTGAGCTGAGATCACTCCACTGCACTCCAGCCTCAAAACAACAACAACAATAACAACAACAACAAACTAACACAGAAACTCTAGACTTAAGCTCGACACTTGACCATTATGACATAAGAGACATCTACAGAACACTTCACCCAACAACCATATACATTCTCATCTGCACACAGAGCATATTCTAAGATTGACTACAGGTTGGGTCATCAAATAAGTCTCAAATTAAAAAAATCAAAATCATATCAAGCATTCTCTTGGACCACAGTGCAATAAAAATAGAAATTGATGTAAAGTAGGTCTTTCAAAACTACACAAATACATGGGAATTAAATTACTCCTCTATAACTACTAGGAAAACATCAAAATTAGTGCACGTTTCAAAAAATTCTTTTAAATTAATGAAAATAGAGACACAACTTACCAAAATCTCTGGAATGCAGCTAAAGCAGTGTTAAGAGGAAAGTTTATACTGCTAAACAACTTCATCAAGAATCGAGACAGTTCTCAAATTAACAATCTGTCTTTGTTCCTAAAGGAACTAGAAGAAAAAGAAAGAACCATTCCCAAAACTAGCAGAAGAAAATAAATAACTAAAATTAGAGAAGAACTGAATGAAATTGAGACACAAAAATCCATACCCACTCGCTTGCTATAGAAGCAACATACAATTCTGCCATTTACAAAGATTAAAAAAAAACTAAAAGATTGTTCTTAAAGCTTATTTTGTTCTTTTTTTTTGATCCTTCTTTTAATAAGCCTCTTTACCCCTTTAGCTCTGTGGACCAAATCAGAGGTATATCAATCCAGAAATGCATAAAAAAAAGCTGTTTCATGACCAAGTGAGGTACATTTGAAGGCATACAAGATTGTTCTGATATTAAAAATTATTTGAAGTTTTAAAAAATCACATAAGGCTATTAAATATCAAATACACACATAATTGAACAAGATACTATTTAAGTACAAGCACCTGTATGAAACATGTGTTGAGAAAAGAATCAAGAGAATGACAAAATTATAGACACTGGTTACCTCTTAGGGGAATCAGGGGATTGGAAAATGAAGAAGCATACAGTTGATGCAATAATATTGTCAATAGCCTACTTCTTGGAGTGCGTGTTGGGGTCATAACTGGTTGGTTATTATTATACTTGATAACTTCCATATTGTGGCTTGTATTTTCATATGTATCAAATATCGTATAATAGATCTTAAAATTTAAGGAAAAAGAAATTTGTGTAAGTAATAGAAATTCTACAATTAAACTCATTTTAAAACCGATAAAGAGAAGTAAAATATAAATTTGTCTACTATTTCAACCTGTCTCTAAGTTCAATATCAATTTAAAACCTTTTAATGTTATATTTGGTAATAAAAAGAAATGTGTTTTCTTGGTTGGGCTGGATAGCTGTATTGCTGAATCAGCTGGTTTTTACACTAAGAAAATTATTACTGGAAGAAATGTATATTCTGTACTCTCAGAAATGTTTTTTACCTTGAAATATTTGGTAATTTTGATTTTAAGTGAGGCTAGCACCATTGGCTGGTTATTTTAACAGAGCCAGAAATAAAGAAATCCAGCTAAAGGGTGAAGAATTTTGGCGCTAACTCTAATGGGCAACCCTGCAACATGTTTCTTAGTGGGAAGAGGAATCTTGCTAGGAAAAAGATGAATTAGAGCTATGTCCAAATATCCAGTAATGGAGATTTTATATAGATATCTATTATTATTTCAGATTACAAGGAATATAAGAAATTATTAATGTTAATGAGATATGCTAGAAACTTTCTCATATGAAGTCTTTGAAATCTAGCATGGGTTTTACATTTAAAGCACATGTTAATTTGGACTAGCCACATTTTAAGTTCTTAATAGCCATGTGACTACCATATTGGATGCACACCTATATCTATAGCAACCTCAGTTAAACTTGTTAAAAGCAACCAAGGTGGAAATACTTTTGCCAAAATTAAGGATTGAATGAGACCAATTAGTTTATGATTTTGAACTATTTATCTTTGTGTCTATCTCAGACATCTCTCAGATTGTGTAAATCATTGCTTTTGAAATGAGGTTTGCAGATTAATCTGCTAGCTGATAAAGAGGGAGGGGGTCCTACAGGTTGATGTTCCATCTGGATTGACTGGTAGGTAAAACAAGCAACAACCCAAAGGAAATTGGCAAAGATAAATAAGATAGAAATTCCAAGAACAACACTGGAAACGGCCAAGGCAGCAGGTTGGAGCCATATCAATTTCAGGAAGACAGGAATATTAAACACAAAAAGAATTTAGCAACTGAAAAAGAAAAGAACTTCTGGGCAAAGAGTGTAGGTAGGGTTTTACCACAGCGATGAGGATAATATCGGTATTGGCAAGCAAATAGTGTATCTCCTCTTTCCACGTCCCCAAAATGATATGTATATGACATTTTCCCCTCAATTTTTCTGTTTTTATTAATATTTTATTTCCAGAGAAAGATAATTTTAATTAGAGTTAAATGGAAAGTAAAATTAAATGATCTTTTTAACATGTTGATCACTTACATTGCCTACTGAGATTAGAACGTTGCGTCTTATTCCTAAATTTCTAATAGGTTTATTTTTCGGCTTAGAATGTTGTCTAGATTATCTCTTGCTTGGCTCTGTTATTATTTGAAATGAGATCATAGAGAATGTTGTTAGCAGAGTTTCTATTCCCATGCACTAATCAAAGTACATAAATCATGATAATTGACCTGGGCTTACTATTGTTCCTCCTTCTAGTTAATTAGAGATACAGTCATATAGTTATCAGGACTAGATAAAAGAAGTAGGATGCACTAATTGAATGATTATTTTGAATATTAGAGACTCGGTATATAGTACATAATCATGACTGGCTATTTGAGATAAAAGTCTGTGTTTACTTGAGTTTCAGAAACAGGATTTTGGGCACTAAAAGTTAAAATAATCTTCTTAAAATCAACTCACATTCTTGTAGTTAAAATAACTTGGGTCTCTAGTCTCAAGGCTCAAGGTAGATACATGAGCTAAATAATGGGCTTAGACTGACTGGTTTCTCTCTTTCTAACATTTTCTGAAATAAAAGAAAGTGCATATGTCTTGACAGTGTCATGAAGGGTACACTTAATTCTTCCCTAATAATTTGAATGAAAGATCAATTTAATAGGGTAAAGAAAGAATCCTACCTTTCCTTTTGCCATCTTTAACTTCAAGCAAGGGTAAATGATGAAAAAAAAAAAGCTATCATCACTCCTATAGTAAAATCATGTAAGTGACTTTCTTTAACTGATTTCAAATAAAATAAAAACAAAGAAATGGCCTGAGAATCAGAGTTACAAACTGCTCAGTGAAAGGTTTTTAAAAAGCTCAGCTACTATCTCTCAGGATTTATTAAAAAAAACAGAATTGGATATATGTAAAGTATTATACTGCACAACATAGAGCTTTATCTGTGGAACTGAATGTACTGTCTTTCCTTCACTTTTACAAACCTCTTGTTCTATGGTTACAAAATTGATTACTGATCATGATATGAATCAGTCTGATGAGAAAATAAAACATACTTTATGTGTTTCTTCTTTTTAACTAAACTTATATTTTGAGATAATTATAGATTTATATGCAGTTGTAAAAATATAATGCCCCATGTATACTTTACTCAGTTTTGCCAGTGGTTACCATGTTGCAAAACCATAGTGCAATATCACAATTGGGAAAATGTCATTGATGCAATCTACCAATTTTATTTAGAATTGCCCATTTTTACATATACTTGTATGGGTATTTAGTTTTTATCACATGTGCAGTTTGGTGTATCCACATGTGTAGGTCAAGATACAGAACAGTTGCATTACCAAGCATCCCTCATGTTAGCCTTTTATAACTACATCCACCTGATTCCACCCTGCACTCCCATTTTGAACCCCTGGCAAGTCCTAATATATTATCCATCTCTGTGATTTTGTTATATCAAGAAGAAGGTTAAATAGACAGAATCATATAATATGTAACCTTGAGATTGGCACATTTCCCTTAGAATTTATTCATGTCGTTCTGTGAATTAGTAATTCATTCCCTTTTATTGCTGGGTAGTATTCCATGGTATAAATGTACCATAGTTTTCTCAAAACCATTCACCTGTTGAAAACCATCTGGTTTGTTTCCAGTCTTCTGGTATTGTAAGTAAAGCTGCTATAAACACTTATCTATGGTTTTGTGTGTGTGTGGTCTTTGTCTCTGTTTTGGAATACAAATGTAAATTTCTATGGACTTTTGCTATGCTAACTTTATTTAAAATTGTAAGTTAAAAAAGGTACGTAGATATCAGTAATGCCATTGAAGGTGTTTAACAAAAATATGCTTTATAGTCCCCTAATTAAAAGTAGTTTTTAGATCAAATTTTCCTTGAAAGAAAAGAGAGATCATTCTAGGGAAAACCCTCAGCAGATGGAGAATTTAAAACGTCATTTTCAATGGATTCAAGGAGAACCCATGCCTTCTTTAACATTAAATTTCCAGTGAGTTCTACTAGTGTAAGATGGGTACTCTCCCTGAGCAGTCTGCACCCAGGTGAATGAAGGCAAGAGGAGTTGAGCCCTGCAAGACCATTTCTCTTGGCACCTTCTCCTGATCAGTCTTGTCATTTCTCTTTTCTTGGGGGAAAGAGAATGAGGAATTGACACAGGATTGAGTGTTAAAGTAATTGAGGTCCCTCCACTTTCCATGTGGGAGGACACATTAAGAGTTAGAAATGGTCGTTCCTACCCTTCAATGATATCATAACACCAAACATTACAACGCAAAATGAGTGCCATTTTGGATCCTTTAGAATTAGTTAATGGTGTTTTTGAATACTAGGGAGCTCATGAAGAAGAGTGTTTTCCTATTTGTTCAGCTGAGGAACAAGACCTTGCTGAGGCAAAAGCTTTAATACCATTTATCAGAGACTTCAGTGAAAGTGACATATTCAGAACTTGCAGCAAAGAGAGTTCAATGTTTTCAGGGCATTCTTTGTGTTGTTAATAGGGTAGGGGATTCTGAAAACCACTTGAATAAGATAAAAGAGTATCACTGTCCTTGGAAAAATTCAGAGATGTGGTGTATCTCCAAAGGAAAGTAAAGTTTAAAACCACAAATTCCACACAATACTCACTTGCTTTCTAATACCGCTCTATTGCTACAAATGAGTCAAAGGTTTGAATACTTCACTAAACTATAAAGCAGAGCTCATGATAGTAAATCAGGCAGACAATCATAAGCTTAACTCTGTGTCATTCTTGCTTCCGTTTTAAAGATAAAGCAATTCCTAGTCTCTGGTTCTGTCTACATGTTTAGGGTAGAGGCTGTACATTATTGCCCTTCAGAAGTGGGGACTGTTGGGTTTTTGTGTTAAGGTCATTTAAGTCACAAAAAACAGCAATTTCTCTCTGCCTCTGCAAATTAAACACACTCCCCGTCGTGTTGTAATGGATTTCAGTCCTTTGTAATTAAAGATCCAACTGTTCACCTCTTGAAACCAAGCACTTTTTACCACATTGTTGCTTCATTTATCTCCGAGGAAAGACACGGACCCACCCATTTGCTATTGGAGTGACGCAGTGTGCTCTGTATTGCTGGCAGTAACACTGTAATAAAAGTGAACAGCAGACGTTTTGGAAGAGAACCATTACCTTGACTCTCTAATGAGTTTTGTTTTACAAGAGCTTTTCAGTAAAAGAGATTTACAATGGAAGAAACCTCAAAGTAAGATGACTGGCTCTTCAGAGTGTTATCCTTACCCAGAGTGATTAAAATATATCCTCTCTAGTTCTTTAGCTGGACTTTAAGTTGCCTTTTTCCAGTATTTCCTTTTGCCTTCCATAGCAGAAATTTCATTTCTTGCTTATTTTCTTCTCTTTCACTTCTGACTCATTCCATGTTCTCACATGACCCCATGACAAATTGTGCTCTGACTGTGTCCGATTCTGAGTTTCCCAGAAAGCAAAGCCTGAGGCAGAGTGAATAGGTGCTATTAGCAAAGGATGCATGAGTGAGCAAGAAGGGAGGGATGTAGGAAAGGAGGAAGACTTAACGTGAAGGTGCATTTGACACTGCTGTTTGTTGAGTGTGACTGTTTGCTAGAGCCATGGAAACAAGCCCCCAAGAAGCTGAAGAAAGTGCCTTGCAGCCAACTTGAGTAAAGGGGGAAAATTCATTCAGTGGGTCCTATCTCTGATTGTTCAAAGGTCACCTATCCCATGGAGATTTGCACTTCTAGTGATGCACGTATGGACATATGCATCCCATTGGTTCTCCTGGGGAAGTCAGCAAGGAAGGCCTGTGCTGAAGGAGGGGTGCTGTCAGAGAATGTCTGCAAGAAGCCAGCCAGAGTTCATGCAGAGCTGGTTGTCAACCGCAGCAGCTGGAATAGAAGACAGTTGAAGCCTAGAGGATCTGAAGAGCTGCCCAAGATGTGTCCAACGCACATTGCAATTGCTTCCTATAAATTGTCAGTCTGTGCAGAAGCACAAGTGAAACTTGTCTCTGCAATTGAGAACTTAAAATAGTCTTGGAAACATGGTCTTGGGACTATGTACTTATGTTTTAAGAGATTGCTAATTCAATCCTGTTTGAGCAAGTAGGAAATAGAGATCACACATGTTTCATTCTGCATTCCCAATATGAAACACAAAGTTTGCCACAAAACAAATGCTCAACACAACTTTTAATAATAATGACTGTTTATGTGTGAATTACATTTTAGGGCCACTAGAACTTACAAATTTAGTCATTAAAAGAATAACTCTGATATATTTTATGACACTAGTTGCTGTCGCATGATAAATCATAGTATTAGGTTTAGTCTTTGACATGCTGGGGTCATTTAAGAAGTCTGCTCCTAATTGTCATTTCAACTCAGAAATTGCTGGGGACTGTGTGTCCATTTTTATCTGACTTGTCTGGCTTGTTTAAGCCCAAAGTCCTAGATATGGAGTGATGTTATCTAATATGGGCTTGAAGCCACTTTCGATAGATAGCTCAGAGAATGGCCACCTGTGCTTTTTCATATTGAGCTGCCTTAGGGACTCTTATCTAAAATGGTTCACTAAGAGCCCTAAGCTGCTATAGACAAACAGAATGTTAAAAAAATAATCAATTAAGTAAGTCAAAGCAATATTACATTGGGCCAAGTTTATTTGGCTTTCTTTATTACAGTTTTTCCTGCTGACTATTTATTGTTTTTTGTTTGAAAGGGAAGTGAATTATGCATAGACTGAATCTTAGGAAATATTTAGCTATTAGATATTTAAAACATAAATCCATATTGCTATAGAAATATTAATTCACAT
This sequence comes from Homo sapiens, assembly GCF_000001405.40. Taxonomy (NCBI): domain Eukaryota; kingdom Metazoa; phylum Chordata; class Mammalia; order Primates; family Hominidae; genus Homo; species Homo sapiens. Next base: position 76,196,171 of record NC_000016.10, read on the forward strand.
TCTTGATTAAATTACAACCAAACGATTTGCATCTCTTTCTAGTAAAATTCAAGCAACTGATTTCTTTCAAGTCTGATAATAACACCTTTTAGTTAGATCTTTTGTGCTCTTTTAACATTTTCTTTTGCAAAATACATCCCATATTGCTAGAGATAAAAGGATTTTGAAACCATCTTTGAATAAAGTTTAAGATGAATGTCTTTCTTTATCCAGTAGCAGAAATGAAAAAAAAAAAGCAAACAAATAATTTTGTACTCCTAAATCTTCATTTCAAGACTTAATTGTCCATAAAATCTGCAGAATTCACCTATCCAATTGATAGGAAGATTATTTTCTTGTTTTTCTTGTTGTTTTAGAAATAAGAGTGGAAATGAGCGTGCATTTTGATGAAACATGAGCACCCAGAATGAGTATTCATGGGTCCACTTCCTCGCTTGTCCCAGTATCTACATCATTTAGTTGAGGGACATTGAAATTTCTCCCATATAAGGAGTAGAATCTATTTTCCCACCCTTTGACTCTGAGTTCTACCATGGAACCAAGAGAAATAGCTGGGGGTCACTGTGCCTGTCCAAACCTGGGAAAGCACATACAATATGTCTGAATATATTTCTGCTTTCCTTCTTGTGCCTCTGACACTGCCTCGAGGAGAATGTGTCCAGGTGAGGCCACTGGCTCCAGGAAAAAGATGAAAAACACAAGGAGCAAAACTGTTCATCCCCACTCCTCCACCTGAGCCACACACTGGCAAGCCGGCCAAGATTTGCAGAGCCCAGTCCAGTCTAGGTGAGATGATACCTTTACCACCCAGTCAATCCACAAACATATAAGCTATTAATAGAATGCAAATAATTCTTATTTAAAACTATTACTTTTGGGGATAGAGAACTGATATAGTACGTATGTGTTTGCTACCCACAGTCACCTTTAAAATACAAACATTATTGTCAATATGTTTAATAATATTTCTGCAAAAATTTTAGCTAATATTTGCCCTGTAGCTATGATATGACTAGCAATGGAGAAATACTACTCTACTTCCTTTACTGAAGGGTTCTCTAGAATATACATATTCAGATGGTACCAAAATCAGTTCAATTTCATTTCATCCCATGAGGAATCTGAAAGTGCTATCCTTCACAGTAGCTTGTACATCCTTAGCAAAATTTTGCAAGTTTACACAGAGCATTTGTGGTATAACATTATCCACAGTGTTGCTTTCCATTAATCAGTCTACCTTACTTATTACACATTTATTGAATGCCTGCTTTCTCTAGATCTAAAAATATATATGTGAAGGGGAAAGCCACTACACTTAAGAATAATACTTTATCACTAGAGAAATCAAATCTAAGTTAACTTTCACAGAAGTATATGAGAAATATGAAAACTTGATGTCATTTTGGAGTGTGCTCAAATAGATACGTTTAGAGGCTGAGAAGGGTGATATTTTTCAAAAGGTATTTGACATGGTAGTTGTTTTCATGTAGATTGAATTGATTTCCCTTTTTAAAAACTCTAAGAGAAAATGTTTATCCTAGATTTCAATTTTAATACTATTGAAATTTTTCAGCAACAGTTTTTTAAACCACCATACAAAAATCAGTCACAAATTTAAAAAAAAAATCAAAATTTTCCTTTCTCAATTCACTTTTTCCTGTATTCATTTGATGTGTCTTCCCTTGAAGTCAACCTATTTCAAGACCTAAAAAATGTCTTGTTCATTGCAGAGTCTCAGAAATTATTTCCCAAATGAATAAATCATTAAATATCATTTCATTTATAGGATACCTAGATTTGGACTATAGTGCAATGTTTTTAAAGAACTGTTTTAGGGCTGCAAATGTGAAAAACATATGCTACAAGAAACTGTGCCCAGATCCCAGGGAGTGAAGCCAATGTTCCCTTTTTAATATTTGCCACTGTTAATTGCTAATCAGAAATGGCATCAAATAATTCCTCAGGCACGCTTCTGGTCCTTGTTTTATCTGCTGCTGGGTCATGGCACATTTAACTGGGACACAGTCCTGGGAAAACCTTTCTTCCTAGCCCTCATCTAAATTGTTTGTAGATAAAAAGAAACTCTCTATTTCCTAAGCCAAGATAGCAGAGCCTCACACCATCTCTCCTATTACAGAAGCAGAGAGAGGATAGTGTAGATGTCAGGATTTGGTGCTTCAGCATCAGGTTACCTGAATTCAGATCCAGTCTACACAAGTCACTCTTTGTAGCCTTAAGTAAATTACTTAACACTCTGTTCTGGCTGGGCGTGGTGGCTCACGCCTGTAATCCCAGCACTTTGGGAGGCTGAAGTGGGTGGATCACGAGGTCAGGAGATTGATACCATCCTGACCAACATGGTGAAACCCTGTCTCTACTAAAATAAAAAAAAATTAGCTGGGCGTGGTGACATGCACCTGTAGCCCCAGCTACTTGGGAGGCTGAGGTAGAGGAATTGCTTGAACCCAGGAGGCAGAGGTTGCAGTGAGCCAAGATCATGCCACTGCACTCTGGCCAGGCAACAGAGCAAGACTCCGTCTGAAAAAAAAAAAAAAAGATCCATGTTGTTATGAGGCTTTAATGATTTCACACATACAAGGCTATGGTTGGTGCATAGAATTAGCACTCCACAAAAGCAAGCTGTGATTTTTCCCTCCCCTATTCCCTCACTGGGGCCCCCAGCTTCCACTTCCATTCTTGGATTTCCTCCTTTTTATCAGTGTACTACTTGGAAATCAGTTCTATCTCTATGGCTGTGGGTGAGTACTTTTTAATCGTTCATCTCTATCAGCTCTTCCTTTGGTAATTAACAGCAAACAGAGCACATCTTCCTTGTATAAAAGCTGATAGGGCTGGGGGCAGTGGCTCACGCCTGTACTCCCAGCACTTTGGGAGGCCAAGGTGAGAGGTTTGCTTGAGGCCAGGAGTTCAAGACCAACATGGGCAACATAGCCAAACCCCCGTGTCTACAAAAAATTAAAAATGTTAGCCGGACATGATAGTGTGCCTACCTATAGTCCTAGTTACTCAGAAGGCTGAGGTGGAAGGATCATTTGAGCCTGGGAGGTCCAGGCTGCAGTGAGCTATGATTGTGCCACTGCACTGCAGTCTGGGTGACAGAGCGAGACACTATCTTGAATTAAAAAAAAAAAAAAGGCCTCTGTAATAGTTTTACTTTCTGAGTACAGAACGGGGCCCCATATGCAAAGAGGACCTAGCCTGCCTTCTGTGCTCTTTTCTTGCAGACAACCTCACCATCTTAAACACTAGGAGTGCTTACTAAGAATTTATGGCCTATGGAACTGGTCAGAGCATTTTATAATATAATTCCGCTGCAGAGACTCAGAAACAATGCACTATTTCAAGTAAATGTTGCCTTCTTCATTTGTAGGGATAGACTCTGGAGACGCCGGTGAAAAGAAAACATAATTTGCCTGGATGCAAAATGTTTCAGTCTGTTCTTTCCTCTAAACATCTCCCACTTTCAATGCTCTATTTTATTACACCAGGGAAGAAAACTCAATTGCGTGCTATTGTGACTTTTGTGGCTACATTCTCAATTTGCTCTCTTTGTTCCTGAGCTAGGGGAGGTCTGTGTCTCATGACAGAAGCAGTGGGGACTCACTAGGGTCCTTCATGGGGCAAATAGTAAAATCCCCAAGGCCTAAATCCTACAAATGAACGGTTTTTGTATGCTAGGCTGACACACAAAATATATTCTGAGCCAAATACTTTTTTTCTCATATAGTAATGGCTTAAAAGGAGTAAAGTACCTTTTTCTCAAAATCACATGTTGATGATGGTAATAGGAAAAGATCCTGAGGATGAGGGATATATCCCATAGGGCTGTCACAAGTAACTCTGTGGTCCAAAATATTTTCTGGGCAAGTGTTGAGGCCCTGAGGGTGTCAGGAGCATGAAAACGGAAACATTGTTTCTTTAACACAGGGCATAAGAGAATCACATTTTCATAACCTTTCTAAATTTTCTGAGTTAATTTATGTTAGCAACCCAAACTCAAGGAACAATTAATAGGTTTGTATCTTCGGATAGAACTCAAATGATTAACATCTTGAAATCCAAAAATCTGTACTTGCTGATACTGGTTGGAGGCACTTTACCTGGTTGGTGGCCAGAACTTCTATTACATTTTGTCACAGATCATAAAATGGGCCTGAGTGCCCTGGATCCACAACATACAGTGGATGAAATATATTAATGGAATAAAAACAGCATCTGACAATTCCATTCTCTGGGAATAGTCTCATTGCAATATATTCTTCATTATTAAACACTTTGGTAAATAATGTGAACACTTAAAGAACACATGCATGGAACTAAAAAAAAATGTGTTTTGATTGTCCGGTGTGTGTATGCATGCACGTGAGAACACACACACACACACACCAATTTTTTTCTATCATTTTATTGAATTGCTCCTTTTTTTTCCTTTTTTTTTGAGATGGAGTTTTACTCTTGTTGCCCAGGCTAGAGTGCAGTGGCTCACTGCAACTTGCACCTCCCGGGTTCAAGCGATTCTCCTGCCTCAGACTCCTGAGTAGCTGGGATTACAGGCACTTGTCACTGCGCCAGCTAATTTTTGTATTTTTTGTAGAGAGGGGGCTTCAACATGTTGGCCAGGCTGGTCTTGAACTCCTAACCTCAGGTGATCCACACGCCTTGGCCTCCCAAAGTGTTGGGATTACAGGCGTGAGCCACCATGCCTGGCTGCTCCTTTGTTTTAATTTTACTGTCTTCCACTCAAAAATATGAAGGACAAGTAAGTGTTCCTAGTAGAAGCAGTGTGATAAATGCAAAAAGTAAGTATGGATATCATTAGCACAGATTCCTAACAACCGCAGAATAGTTCCATCTTTATTCCTTCTAGAATCTGAAATTGATCCCAATACACAATGCAAGAAAAAGAGTGGGGCAGACCTAAAAATAGGACAACCAAATGTACAATAACTCTAAAAAAACCTACCTGTTTTAATAAAGTTTTAATGGAGTTTCAAAAAATGAGCCTAATATATTCAGTATAAATAATGCATCTTTCTAATATGAAACATACACATCACCATGAAATTTTATAAGGGTCATTTGCATAAAATTTTAACATACACATTATTGAGGTATGTGAATAGATATTTAACAATATGTATTGATAGATAAAAAACAGTGTCAAAATGCTTCAGATATGTTATAGTTTGTTGTCTTATGAAGCTACTGTCATCTGCCAATGCATGTTTCTCATTATTTCTAGGCATTCACTAAGGAAGTGGGTCACTAGCACTGCTTAAAGGAGCCCCTGTGTGACTTCAACCTAAGTTTCCTTTAAATAAACTACTTTTGTTATGCTCTATTACGCCATTCTTGAAAATTCTCTTAACTGACTCATCTTTAAAGACAATTGATAAAAACAGGCACAGCTGGTTGCTATGATGTTGGCTGCTGAGGACATGTTAGTATGTGTGGTTATAAACTTGCCCACCCATCGTTGCTGGCCTTGCTTTATCACAAGTGCAAGAAAGGAAAATCTATATTACAGCAAAGCAATGTTCAGTAAAATTTGATACTTTCTCAGCCTAAGAAATAACAAGTTATAGATAACCATATTATATAAATTACTAAGGTAAGATAAGGCAGCTTTGGAAATGGTTCAATCTTTAATTGAAAGAGCACAGGTAGAATTCAGTAATTTTATTTTTCTTCAAGTTAAATGCCTATTCATGAGAAAAATGCGAAGGGAGAGATCATTACCTTAACAAAAGGAAGAAGATTACACACAAACTTTGAAGGCAACATTTTATCAAGGCCTGATTCCCTGGGCTCCTCTGCTGTAGCTCCCTATGTGGACTTACTATACAACAAAAGCAACAGTTACCCATTTGGCAAAGGCTGACTACTAGATGCAGCTTGGAAACAAAAGAGCACATGTCATCAAAGCAGCTCATTCTGAGGTTCCAGAGAACAGGCAGAGCTGACAGGTAGAAAAATCTGGATGCAAATTCTAGGGTTTGGCTTATAGACTTTGAATGTGAAGCACTGCAAATTAACAAAGGAATTTTTATTATTTAAAAAAAAACATTTTGGAAAAAGGCAGTCTGGGATGCATCTTGTTCTAATGCCCTCCCCTTGCCTATTATGCCATTTTAACAAGATGTGAAAGGCAAAAATGACGCAGCTCAGTTCCTCTGATGTATGATCAGATGGAACAGGGGCCAAGAGCCGTCTTCCCCAGGAGAAGGGCCAGAGTGGGCTGGACTCTGAGTACTCAGGTACTCACTATCCCCAGAATGCGTCATAAGCAATAAAAGTGAACAAACTTCACCGTCTTTCCTTTCTTCCCATTAAAAATGGGAGAGTTCATCATGGTTTATCTGTTGTCCCATTGTCATTATATATTAGATGTGTTGGGCGGGGTATCAATAAGGTAATCATTTGGCTATAGGGAACTAAACAATGAGGAGCTACTGGTGGATCTCATAGAAAAAAATGTGCGTCACCCAAGGTCTTGGACAGAGTCCTGGGACAGTGCATGGGCCAGACCTCAGCAGGATTAGTAGCTTTTAGATGCATGTGGGGAAGTTGCATGATTCAACTTCAGGATTCAGGATTATTTTTAATGTTATATACAGGAGAATGGTGTGTCTTTGTGTGGTGTGTGTATGTAGATGCTAAGAAGGCAAGGATAAAATGTAGTTACAGTTTTGTCTGCTGGAGTTTTTTTTCCCTTTGGGAACACTTATGTGATATTTGTGGGACTGTCCATCACATGGGCTGGCCCCATGGGCCCCTGATGTCAACTGTGCAAATCATGGCATGCCACCCCTGAACACATTGGTCCATATGTGGATGGGCACAAGAAGAGCCATTTGCAGAACTTAAGGAGACTGACATGGGAAGATGGGAGCAGGAAAGTGCCAGGAACATCTCCCAGCTGCACAGAGATGGCCTTGAGAATGAAAGAGAGGTTTAAAGATTCAAGAAATTTAGCCATATCCCATGTGTTATCTAGGCCTTGAGTTTTCCAGCCATATGCACCAGTAAATTACCTGCCATATTATTTCCCTATAGCTGCTGTAACCCATTGTCACAAACTTAGTGGCTTAATACAGCATAAGTTTATCTTACAGTTCTGGAGGTAGGAAGTCTGAAATTGGTGTTACATGGCTGAAGTCAAAGTGCCAGCAGAACTGTGTTCATTCTGGAGGGTCTAAGGGAAAATCCATTTCCTTGTCTTTTCTAGTTTCTGGAGATTCGGGCTCATGGACCCTTCCTCCACCTTCAAAATTAGTCATTTAGCATCTTCAAATTTCTCTCTCTCTTTGCTTCCAATGTTGTATTACCCTCCCTGACTCTGACCCTCCTACATTCTTCTTATGATATGACCATTTTGATTATCTTGGGTTCACTCATTTAATCCAGAATAATTTCGTCACGATCCTTAACTTAATCATGGTTTCAAAGTCCCTTTTGCCATGACAGGTTCCAGAGATTTGAAGAACAAGGACATACTTAGGGGAGCATTGTTCAGCCTTCCACATCTGTCTTCAGCTGGTTTGAAGTGGGATTTTGTCAATTTTATCCAGGAGAATCCTGAGTGAGATACAATGATTCTGCTTTTTAATTTCCCTTAGAGGTCAAATAACTGTTAATAATATATCCCCTCCTGCATTCAGTGCATAGTGTAAATTTTAGGAAGCAGAGATATTGAGAAGAAATGACACTGGAATGTGAATTATTTGTATTCTAATCCTCACTAGAGCAAGATATATATTTGCTTTCAGGCTTGGTTCACTCATTTATGATATGCAGATAGGAACTCCTGCTTTGCCTGATTCACAAGGTGATTGTGAAAATCGAATAAAATAAAAAACACTAAATTCATACTGCATGCATAAAGAAATTTTATTATTTTATCTCATGTAGGTGTCATCTTTTAGAATACTTACTCATTCACTGACTAATTTTTTTTAATCAGAGATAAATTGTATGTATTTGCTGTGTACAACATGATGTTTTGAAACGTATATACATGGTGGAATGACTAAATCTTGCTAATTAGCATGTGCATTACCTCACATAATTGTCATTTTTGTGGTGAAAATAATTTACACCCACTATCTTAGCATTTTTCAAGAATATATTATCAACTAAAGTCGCCTTGGTGTATAATAGATTTCTTGAACCTATTCCTCCTATTTAACTGAAATTTTGTAACCTTGACCCACGTGTCCCCAACTCACCTCTCTATCCTCAGGCCCTGGTAACCACATCCTGCCCTCAACTTCTATGAGATCAACTTTTTTAGGTTTCACATAGGTGTGACATTATGTGGTATTTGTCTTTCTGTGCCTGCTTATTTCATTTTACCTAATGGCTTACAGATTCAGCTATGTTGTCACAAATAACAGGATTTCATTCTTTATGGCTGAATAGTATTCCATTACACACATATATTCCATATTTTCTTTATCCATTCATCCACTGGGAGACACTTAGGTTTATTCTGTATCTCGGCTCTTGTGAATAATGCTGCAATGAACATGGGAGTGCAGATGTCTCTTTGACATACTGATTTTATTTCCTTTAGATATAACCTATATACCCAGTAGTGAGATTGTTGGATAATATGGCAATTCTATTTTTAATTTTTTTGAAGAAACTCCATATTGCTTTCCATAATGGCAGTACTAATTGATGAAGACATTCCCACCAGCAGTGTGCAAGTGTTCTCTTTTCTCCATATTTTTGTCAACACTTATCATTTATGTATTTGATAATAGCCATTCTAACAGGTGTGAGGTGAAGTCTCATTGTGGTTTTAATTTGCATTTCTTTGATCACTACTGATGTTGAGCATATTTGCATGTAAGTACCTATTGACCATTTGTATGCCTTCTTTTGGAAAAAAATCCATTCAGTTCCTTTGTCTATTTTTTAATTGGGTTATTTGTTTTCTTATTATTAAGTTCTTTGAGTTCTTTATGGATTTTTGATATTAACCCCTTATCACATGTACATTTAGTTTGCAAATATTTTCTTCTGTTCTATAGATTGTTTCTTCACTTTGTTGATTGTCTCCTTTGTTGTACAGAAGCTTTTTGATTTGATGTAATCCCATTTATCTATTTTTCATTTTGTTACCTATACTTTTGGAGTCATCCAAGAAGTCACTCTCCAGACCAATGTCATGTAGCTTTCCCCCTATGATTTATTGTAGTTTCATAGCTTTGGGTCTTACATTTAAGTGTTAATCCACTTTGAGTTGATTTTTGTATACGGTATGGGATAAGGGTCTAATTTCATTCTTCTGCATTTGGAAATCCAATTTTCCAAACACCCTTTATTGAAGAGACTGTCTTTCTGGGTGGTATGTTATTAATGTCTCTGTTGAAAAATCAGGTGGCTGTAGGCTGGGTGTGGTGGCTCGTGCCTGTAATCCCAGCACTTTGCAAGGCCAAGGTGGGTGGATCACAAGGTCAGGAGTTCGAGACCAGCCCGACCAACATGCTGAAACCCTGTCTCTACTAAAAATACAAAAAAAAAAAAAAATTAGCTGGGCGTGGTGGCATGCACCTGTTATCCCAGCTACTCAGGAAGCTGAGGCAGGAGAATTGCTTGAACCGGGGAGGTGGAAGTTGCAGTGAGCAGAGATCGAGCCACTGCACTCCAGCCTGGGTGACAGAGGGACACTCTGTCTCAAACAAACAAACAAACAAAAATCAGGTGGCTGTAAATGCATGGATTTATTTCTGGGCTTTCTATTCTGTTCCGTTGGTCTACATGTCTGTTTTTATGCCAGTACCATGCTGTTTTGGTTTCTATAGCTTTGTAGTATATTATGAAACACACACTAATATTAACTGCAGCTTTTGAATATGGATCTTGCTATAATTGCTTTTACATATTTCCTTTGCCTAATTAAAGAAAAAAGATATGCCAGTGTCCTCAGGTTAAAGAAAATAGAGAATAGGCAATTTCCTCCTTTCCTCTGCCTCAAAATCCAATGGGGGAAAAAGCTAAAGAAGAGAAAATAGAGGAAAAAACATTTTCATGGAAGTAGGAAAACGAACACATCCCAACACTATAAATGAGGAAGATGTGTTGAATATTGTGAAATTTGCTTAGAGAGAAGTGAGTATGTGGGGAACCAAAACAGTCTCTTTCAGATATCAGGAGGCTTAAGATTCCCTTGACATCCTGTGACTGAATTCAGGATGTCTATTTTTTGTTTCTTTCAGAGAAATGGGATACAGGAATGTGACTAGGCTATAGATGAGATGGGAAATGTCTCTGTAGAGATCAACACCTCAGAATGGAAGAAGAGATGCTGCTGAAGGAAAACTGCACCACAGCACACTTTATAATCTACAACTTATTTTATAATCTAAGAGGCTGGGGCTGCTTGCCCTAGGAGAGTGGGAAGGTAGATAACAGTTGCCAGGACAAAGTTAATATACAGAAATTTGCTCTGAGAACACTGCTGTCATGGATGCTAAAACTGAAGGGAGACATACCCCAAAGACAGAATACGTAACAATTTTGATGAGAGTGCATTTGACATGGTAACAGAGCATATCCAAATTTGTTATGGATGCCTCTATGAGAATATGGATGAGAAATGATCTGGTGAAAACCAATCAGAAAAGAACTAGCATGGTTGAGCACAGTTACCCCACCCTCACCAGCCAAAAGAGATGAGAAATTAAAATATAGGAAGAAAAAGAATGTATACCATAAAAATATTGCTCAGTGAAGGAGAGGGACAGGTCATCAAAATAATTTACATAAACAAAATCTCCCTAGATAAATTCCTTAAAGAAGAGACCAAAGCATTTTAAGAAAAGTCTATGTGATAAACAAGAAAGTACATTGAGGAAAAAATTAATATATTATGGAGATGAATTCAATCTTTCTGTCTCTCAAAATAATTCTCAAACATAACGTTGAGCATCATTTTTTCCCCAGGAACAGAGCTTGAATTTGTGCTGTAGAAAGGCATGTCTAGTCTTGAGTTTGTACTGTGAAAAGGTACATTTTGGCCTACAAAAAAAAAGTTAATGTAAATTTTATTGGTATCATTTTAAAAGGTAGGTTTCATTATTAGTCAGATGGGCTGAAGCCAAGTGATAGGAGATAACTACTTTTGAATAGTTTGTTTCCTATAGTTCCTGAGAAGAGGGGGCATGCTATTCCATGTAGGGTCACATGGAATTCCACGTTGAGCCACATGGAGAAGCATGTGGCCCAGGGCCAATCAGGTGGCAGAGGGAGTGAGGGGAAAAATGTGAGCAAGAGCCCTCATTGTGGTTTCTGTGAGAAAGAACAGCTAAGACAGAGTAAGCAGGCTTTGGACTGGCTAGTTTGAATAGTTTCCGCTCTGAGTGTAGGAGCTGCCCCCGGTTGTCTGGGACCTGGTCCTAGGGAATACTGGCCTGAATGTGAGAGCCCTTTGAGAGCTTGATAAAGGAGGTGGTGGGGTATGGGTTTTGGACTGGTTGGCTTGCATATTATAAACACATTGCCAGATGAGATGTTTGCTATCTCTAGGAATCAGCTAACCCTAAAAGGGGCAGTGTCTACCAGGATGTGCGAGCTTATAGAAGTTAAAGCATCAAAAATTAAGAAATAAAAAAAAAAACCCAAGATTAATACAGTATGTAGTAGGAGGGCTCTTAATAAAGTACTTATTGCAAACCAAAAAAGTTTTTGATAGCACAATACAGTGACTATGGCCAATAATAATGTAATTGTATAGTTTTAAATAACTTAAAGAGTGTAATTGGATTGTTTGTAACTCAATAAATACTTGAGGGGATGGAAACTCCATTCTCCATGATGTGCTTATTTCACATTGCATGCCTGTAGCAAAACATTCATGTACCCCATAATTACATATACCTATTATGTGCCCACAAAAATATTTAGAAATAATTTTCAAAAATTAAAAAATGAAACAAACAAAAATTTTGCCAGACTGTCAATATTGTTATTTATTATGCACAGCATGTAATATTTATTTAATTAAAGCCTGCTATAATTATACTGTGTATCAGTCATGAGTTACAGGGGAATATACTTTTGATAACTTCATGCCATAGTGTTCAAAAGAAGTTGTTTTTTCTTCAAATTTGGTATTCTATGAATGCTCCGTTGAAAATTTTTACCTTTTCAAGGCAGAACGTCCGCAATGCCTACTCCGAAAATTTGTATCTCACTTTATGTAAATTAATACCTGAACGAAAAGTAAAACTAATAAATTTTAATAACAAAAAGTACTGAAAGAAATGCATAGAAGGATATATTTTCATGCACATGCCCACAGAGACTCAAGGCTCATAAGAATTTGCATGTAATTGGAACCTGGGGTGTGTGAAAATCTGGCTCCCAGCCTGAGGGATAAAAAGGACTTTAGGATTCCAGGCAAAAAGGTGAAAGACAAAGGGAAGGAATATTTTTTAAGTCAGTGTGAGAACTTTCCCTTCGGACTCAGTAACGTAAACAATTAAACTTACAATAGACTTTTTTATTTGTTAAAATAAATGCCTTTGATATTGAGAATCTTGGAACTGACCATATGGGGTGGTAAAGAAAGGATAAGGAGCAAAACTAATTTATTTTGCAGAAATGATTGGTCAGTTTATAGCACTGTGTAGACCATATAACTATGAGATAACTATTTGATAGGCTAAATTATCTCATTCAGATACTTGTCAACAGAGTTAAAAAAATTTCTCTGTTATTGTTCCGCAGGAGACCAGTATTATTTTAAACTAGATATCTGTGACTTAAAGGAAGGCATTGGAAATGTTTCTCATTAAAATCATAAATGGCACCATGTTGGGTGTGAGGGCATACAGTCTGCAACACAGAAGTAAGATTCAAAATTTCCTTTATAAATTGGAGAGATGAAATGAACCATCAAAGCAGAATGAAATCGAAGAAGGACATTATTGGCTCCTTGTGCATTTCCACCATTAGTTTCTCATCTAAGAAATAGACATAAGGTCTCTGTAAACAAAGGACAAAACCTCTGCCCACAACATAGTTACTAGTAGCATGGAAATTGTTGATATAAAATCTATACATGCTTAACTCACTTCTAAGTGCCATGTGTATCAAATTCTTTTAAAACTCCATAAAGTTTTAACTATCTAATTTTTGTTGAGGATACAGATCACCGTATTTTCAACAACTTTACAAAGGATTTAAAGCAGTTAGCATTTCTTACTTTTAGATCTGTGCTTTCATTTTGGAGAGCAAAAGAAAAGATAATCTAAATGTCTAAAGTATTTATTTGATAGGAAACACCTGCTTTTTCATGCACTAAATTCAGTGCGTTCTTTGTACTTTGATAATATCCCAATTCCATTGATTTATATTGAACCTCAGTCAATAAATTAATTTATGCAGGAAGATTGGGAATGTTCTTAAGAAGGAATTGATAGAATATAAATATATGCCATGTTAGGGCAGAACATAAATTTCCATGTACATTATAAGCATGGGTCTTAATGATTATTTATGTTGCCTAGGAAAATAAGCCAATGAGACATTATCTCATTTGCTTTCTATAGAACTTAAGTAAGGAAGACAAGGTAAATTTTGATGTTCACTTAAAAATAAATTTGGAGCTTAACAGAGGTAAATGGTTAAGCTTATGAGAGAGACAGGATATTATTTAAAAGAGCTCTAGGGAATAAACTTGGATGGGATCTTGTATGTTTTTTGACACTAACTAGAAAGATGATGTCACTTGGTATCCTTAGACCTTAACATTTGCTAGTGTTGCTGTTACCTGCCAATTACTTCCAAAATTTGTAATAATTCAATTCTCCCTAACCATTTCTTCTACTCCAGGATTCTTGCCATCACACAAATCCTCTCCAGCTCTGTCATTCATGTAAACATTTGGAAAAGCACCACACATACAGTGAAAATGTAATAAATACTTGCTATTAATTTTTTTCACTGTTAGTATTATTCATCATTCAACAAGTATGTGTTGAACACCTATGATCACCCTGCTGTGTGTTAGATTTTAAAAGGAGGAAAACATAAAACGCACAGGCATGATTTCTGTCTGTATAGATCTTACACAGTACTCTAACAGGGTTACAAAAACCATCTATTCCAAATCCAATTCTCCCCGTCATGCTGTGGCAGCTGCCCATTTTTCACAGGATACAGTCCAATTGCTCTGACGTGTCACACAAGGTCTTCCATGATCTGACATTTCCCTACAACTTCAGCCTCACGTATCCCTATTTGCTGCTTTCACATTTTAGCTTTCAAAGCACCCATGCCTTATAAGTCCCTGGTTCTACCTGCAAATGAATGATGCGGAATCTCATCTCTGTGCCTTTGTGTGTGAATTTCCCTATTTGAAATTCTCCAGAAACAACATAAAACTGGGTAATTGCTGCATGGTCCTTTAAGATTCAGTGCAAATCCCGCCTTTTCTAGATTGGCTTCTCGGACTTTTTTCTCATCTTCTGACCCTAGGCTGCGTGTTATTATTGAATCTGGCACATCGGCTTATAACAGTGATTTTCATCCAGGGGTGATTTTACTCCAAAGGAGACAAAATGTCTGGAAACATTGTGGTTGTTAACAATCGAGGTGATGCTACTGGCTTCGTGGGGGGTATAGGCCAGGGGTGCTGCTAACAATACTATAATACACAGAGCCTTTCCAAACAAAGAATTATCTGGTTTCACATATCGGTAGTGCTGGGGCTAGAAAATCTCATGCGGATGAGTTGGCCTCAACCATTAGGTTATGAGCTTCCATTGTCCAGAGGCTCTGTCTTATTTGCCTTTATGTCTTCAGCATCAAGTCCAAAGCTAGAAACACGCTGAATTGATATTTTTCTGAATAAATAACAGTAGGAAAGGAGTAAAGTATGCATGATTATATAAATAATTGGACAGCATTTGTTCAAAAATAAAGACAAGGACTGCCCTTAACACCAATTGCAGTACTTCCCAATGGGGAGATAAAATTTTTGAGTTGGACGGGAAATGGTGAAGGGAATGGGGATAGGGGACAGAGAAATCACAGGAATTTGAGATTAAAGTGCTAAAAACAAAAAAGGAAAATTAAGAGAAAATATCAGAGTCCCATATCAACAGTGGCCTTTTCAACAGTTCTTAAACTGGGTGTGGTGGCTCATGCCTATAATACCAATACTTTGGGAGGCTGAAGCAGGAGAATCACTTGAGGCCAGGAGTTTGAGACCAACCTAGGAAATGTAGAAGACCTCATCTCTACAGAAAAAAAAAAAAAAAAAACCAACTTTAAAAATTAACCAGATGTGGTGGGACACGCCTGTAGTCCCAGCTACTCAGGAGACTGAGTAAGCTATGATGGTGACACTACACTCCAGCCTGGGCAACAGAGTGAGATGCTGTCTTTTATAAAACAAACAAAACCTTTTAATACATGATGAAAATGTTTGCATGATGTTTCTTATTGCAGTCAGTCAAGATTAATGATGTGCATCGTTTCAGTAAACAATTTTTTTTGTATTGAAATTAGAATTCATGTAAATTGCCTAAATATGAATCCTACATTATTTTGTTACGTTTTATAATCTGAAGTTACCTTATTGATTATTTAAGATGTGCTATCTCAGTCTTTCTCCCTCTTTATTCCAGGTATAAAATTCTATGCAAGCAAATACTTCCTTCTTATGATATTAGTTTGTGGTAGGCAAAATATTTTTATAAAATAAGATCTACTTTAAGTAGGCAAAAGCCAAACTAAACTATCTCTCTTTGCTGATGATATGATTATATATCTAGAAAACTCTAAAGACTCCACCAAAAGGCTACTAGCACTGATACACGATTTTAGTAAGGTTTCAGGATATAAAATAAATGTGCAAAAATCAGTAGCATTTCTATACACAAATAATGTCCAGGCTGAGAGTAAAATCAAGAACACAATGCCATTTACAGTAGCCACAAAGGAAATGAAACCCAGGAAGACAACTAACCAAGGAGATGAAAGAGCTCCATATAAGGAGAACTATAAGAAGACACTGCTGGAAGAAATCAGAGATGACACAAATAAATGGAAAAACATTCCATGCTCATGGATTGGAAGAATGAGTATCATTAAAATGGCTATACTGCTCAAAGCAATTTACAGATTCAATATTATTCCTATCAAACCACCAACGTCATTTTTCACAGAATTTAAAAAAACTATTCTAAAATTCATATGGAAGAAAAAAAGAGCCTGAATAACCAAAGCAATCATAAGCAAAAAGAGCAAAGCCAGAGGCATCACTCTACGTGACTTCAAACTATACTGTAAGGCTATAGTAATCAAAATAGCATGGTAATAGTACAAAAACAGACACAGGACAATGGAACAGAATAGAAAACTCAGAAGCAAGCCTTCACTCTTAAGGCCATCTGATTTTTGACAAGGCCAACAAAAACAAACAATGGGGAAAAGGAATCCCTATTTGATAAATGGTGGCGGGATTACTGGCTAGCCATATGCAGAAGAATGAAATTAGACCCTTACCATTTATCATATACAAAAATTAACTCAAGATGGGTTAAAGATTTAAACACAAGACCTCAAACTATAAAAAATCCTAGGAGAAAACTAGGAAATACTCTCTTGATATTGGCATTGACAAATAATTTTTGTCTTAAGTCCCCAAAAGCAATTGTTACAAAAACAAAAATTGACCAGTGGGACCTAATTAAACAAAAGAGTTTCTGCACAGCAAAAGAAACTATCAATAAACAGACAACCTACAGAATGGAGAAAACATTTGCAAACTATGCATCCAGCAGAGGCCTAATATCCAGAACCTATAAGAAACTTAAGTCAACAAGAAAAAAACAACCCCATTAGAAAAATGGGCAAAAGACATGAACAGACACTTCTCAAAAGAAGACGTACAAGCCACCAACAAACGTGAAAAAATGCTCAACATCACTAATCATCAGAGAAATGCAAAATAAAACCACAGTGAGATACCATTTCATGCCAGTCAGCATGGCTATTATTAAAAAGTCAAAAACAACAGAAGCTGGCAAGGCTGCAGAGAAAAAGAATGCTTATATACTGCTGGTGGGATTGTAAATTAGTTCAGCTACTGTGGAAAGCAATTTAGAGAGTTCTCGAACTTAAAACAGAGCTACCATTTGACCCAGCAATCCCATTATTGGGTATATACACAAAGGAAAATAGATCACCATATAAAAAACACACACATACTTGTATGTTCATCACTGTGCTATTCACAATAATAAAAACAGGGAATCAACCTAGGTGCCCATCAGTGGTGAACTGGACAAAGAAAATGTGGTACATATACACCACGGAATACTACACAGCCATAAAAAATGAAAACATCTCCTTTGTAGCAACACGGATGGATGGAGTTGGAAGTCATAATCCTAAGTGAATTAACACAGAAACAAAAAACCAAATACTGCATGTTCTCACTTGAAAGTGGCAGCTAAACATTGAACACACATGGACTTAAGCATAGGAACAATAGACACTACATAATATATGAGGGGAGAGGAAGGGAGGGAGGTGTGGGTCAAAAAACTACCTAGTGTGTCCTATGCTCACTACCTGGGTAGAATATACCCATGTAACAAACCTGCCCATGTACCTCCTGTATCTAAAATAAAAGTTGAAAAAAAAAAAGA
Source organism: Homo sapiens (assembly GCF_000001405.40). Taxonomy (NCBI): domain Eukaryota; kingdom Metazoa; phylum Chordata; class Mammalia; order Primates; family Hominidae; genus Homo; species Homo sapiens. The sequence goes on from NC_000016.10 coordinate 76,213,864, forward strand.
CAAAAAGAGAGATCTACTTTAAACTGTCAACCTGAAATCAAATGGAAAGAGTTTTGCAGTTTAAAATAGTTCTTTAAATTTTCATGCCTTTCTGAAGTGTATTATTTCAATCAATATCAGCCAGGAAAGCATTGAATTACTACCAAAAGCTGTTCTTAAAATACTTCCAAGTTTTGTAGGAAAAACTCCCCAAACAGAAAAGCCTGGAAATCTCATGGTAGAAAAATCATGTTAAAAAGCCATCAGAAATCTGAGAATCCTGGACCTCAAACTCTGTAATTGGAAATCACTGACACTTAACTTTTTAAATAATAGCACATTTTTCTAAAAATGGTTAACTAAAAGTGCAATGAGAATTCCCTATGCCTGCTCATGGTTAAATAGGAAAACTCATTAACCTAACATATTTCCATGACATTACATCCCTATGCCTGCTCATGGTTAAACAGGAAAACTCATTAACCTAACATATTTCTATGACATTACATTCTAGAATTGAAGGGCTTTTTTCCCCTCCACTTTTCAGATTCCTGTAATGTACCTTTTCTCCCACATTATTTTTTAACTTTTTTAACTTAAAAAATAATTGTGGCGTTTTATCTATGAGTAGCCTTTATTTTTTATATTTTTTTCTTTATAAGGACATTAAAATTATTCATCAGTGAAATGCTCTATACAGAGGTTGCTTACAACGTTTGTACTTTTAAAATTTTAAATAATTTCTAAAATAATTTTAATCCCCATTTTCATCTGTACTTACATTCTGTAAGCAACATATTTTCTAAACTCTTCTTTCTTGAGAGACTCTGACTTTTAATAAAACCTATTGGTTATCATTTAATTGCAACTATATAAAAATTTGTGTACTAAAATGTACATATGTGGAGTAACAGTTAAGATATAGTGGCTTACAGTAATTTTATATATGCCCATAGTAGGATGATTAATGGCTACCCAAAGATAGCAAGTTTAATCCCTGGAACCTATAAGGAAAAAGGGTTTTTGCAGATGTGAATAAGTTAAGGATCTTGAGATTATCCTGTATTATCAGTGTGCAATCAGACTTGTTCTTATAAGATAGAGGGAGATGTGATACAGACAGAAGAGGAAAAGACACATGCACACAAGAAAGCAATGTGACCCTGGAGGCAGAGTGGAATGATACGACCACAGCTAAGGAATGCCAGCAGCCACCAAAAGCTGAAAGAACAGCTTCTCTTTTAGAGCCCCTGTAAGGAATGTGGCCCTACTGACTTACATTTTTTTTTTTTTTTTTTTTGAGACAGGATCTCATATGATCACAGCTCACTGCAGTCTTGAACTCCATGGCTCAGGTGATTCTCCCACCTCAGCCTCATGAGTAGCTGGGACCACAGGCATGTGGCACCACATCTGGCTAATATTTTTGTATTTTCTTGTAGAGACAGGGTTTCATCATGTTTTGCAGGCTGATCTCAAACTCCTGGGCTCAAGCCATCCTCTCTGCTTCAGCCTCTAAAAGTGCTGGGATTACGGGTGTGAGACATCACACCTAGCCCTTGTTGACATCTGATTTTGGTCCAGTGATACTGATTTCAGATTTCAGCCCTCCAGAACAATGAGATACAAATTTCTGTTGAGTCCCAAATGTGTGGTAATTTGTTACAGTAACTGCAGGAAACTAGTATAAATTTACCACATGGCACGGAAACATATCTTAAGAAATAGAGGAGAATAAAGACAACAAAATGAATACCCCATTAATTGGTTCATGTAGGAATGTGAATGAGGCCAATTCCCTATTATATATAGAAGTGTGGAATCAGGTTTGGAGGTGGGTTAAAAACTCATTTGTTCACTTCCATTCCTACTATAGGAATCCTTCCAGTACAATAACCTACCTTTTAACTGATCATCAAGGACCTGAGTCCTTTTAGAGGCAGTGAGCTCACTGTCTCTAAGGCAGTAACATGGAGTGGTTGGCCAGCCATAATTCCTTGAAAAAATTGCATACATCATGGTGAAAATAGAGACAACACCTATTCATTCATTTCACATATATTAATTGAGCATCTGCAATGTGCTAGGCAATTCTTGAAGAAACTGGGGTACCACACAAAAAAAGAAAAAGAAGAAAAAAAGAAAAAGAAAAAATCATTTTGTAATTTGTTACAGTAGCCACAGGAAACTAATACAATGCCAGATAGAAATTAAGTTGAAATAAAAGTAGTACATGGTGCTTGAAATAAGAAATTAATAATGAGAATAAAAAATACTAAAAGAAAGAAAAAAATAAATTAATAATGAGAATAAAAAATACTAAAAAAAGGAAAAAACTGAGGCTTTTGATAATAAAATGATGAACTTCATGCATATAACAATATGTAGTTGGGGAGTTTTTTAAAGTGAGGAATCAGGCCTAATATTAAAGCAACTGCCTTGTCATTCAGATTGAAAACTTAATAACCTCTAGGGGATGGAGAATAAATGGATTTTCATAAAAGTATAGTTGTTTTAAAAGAGGGTATACAAATAACTTATATTAGTTAATTATATAATTTTGGTGCTTTAAGGAAAAATCTTGAATGCTATTAAATAAATATTAATATAGCTCACTAGTCTTTCTAATTTTTGCATACCTATTATGTTGTTCTTAGTTCAGCACAATGCTGAAATGGTGAATAAAGTTGCTTTGAGTATCATGTTGTGGCCTCTCTTTACATACAAAGGGGAAAGAGGATGTAAGGTATTTGTGGGGAGATGCATGATCAACAAAGGTAAGGATTAGAATCCCTGTGCCTTAAAGACCAGATGAACCAGATTAGGGAGAGCTTGGATGACCAAGGTGAGACTTTAATAGTTGGAAAACAGAAAGAACTTTATTTTTGCTTATTTAGTTTTTTAGAAGGAATCTTTAGAAGTTAAGCAGAAGGAAGACCATGGCAACAGGATCATTAACTGAAATAGCTTAAGGCAGAGGATAAATAGAAATAGTAGACCAGAAGATGTAAGGTTAATGAAGAATTGGTCTATAAGCACTCAGACTGTTTTGTCCAGTGAGAAACAATGAGAGGGACAGAAAGAGAGAGAGAGGCAGGACAGTTCAATTACAGAATCCGCAGAATTTATTTATCTTTTGGACAAAGGGGAATGAAGAAAGATAAGTCAAACGTTTATCTAGGATTTTAAAAGTAGGTGATGGGTGGGGAGAAACACAAACGAGAAAGAACAATTATGAATGTGTGGTAGGGTAAAAAACTAAATAATCAATGTGAATTTCCAAAGAGAAATATTCAGTGCGAGATTAATCATGCAGAAATGGAATAAAATAAGAAGATGGAATTCAGATTTTCCCGATAGAAATGCACCGAGGGACGTCGATCAATTTTATGTTCTGATTTGCTTTAGCTGTTGTGTTTGAATTCCTCTCTGGCTCACTTTCTCTGAAACTGACTAGTAGTGCGAGAGATGGACATACAAGACTAAGCACAAAAAACAGACAGTATGTGGTTTTACTGAAGTGTTCTATTAGCCTATGGATAAGATAAAATTCTATCAAGTAGAGCCTGAAATTTTTTTAAAAAAGTCTGTGAGCGATGTGAAGAATAACGTTTGTAATGGTAAAACTCATTAGTAGTAGTGTCTGAAAAGGAACTGAGGAACTACTGCATTCAAATGATCTGATCATGGAGATGCAATTTCAATGTCAGTGGCAACCTGGTGTTGGGGCAAAGAAAATAATACCCCAAAATGTGCACTGAGACATACTGAACTAAGGAAGCAGCCTGAAGTTCTCACTGACTACTACCCCCACCCCCACTCCTGTCTCTCAACCCTCTGTCTCTCCTAAAACACAGGATGAGGTCATTCTCTGAGAGTTCCTTATCTACCTAGAAACTGGACCTTCCAAAGAGGAACACGTTTGCTTTTGGTCCCTTTCCTAAAATTCCATCAACCAGAGAAGATTGAAACTCATATCACAGAGGAAGATCCTGAAAATTAAGCACCACACCTAGAGCCCAGACATGTTTGTTCTCTGATCCCATTCAATTTACAAAGAGAATAATTGACAAGCTAATTTCTGTTTCTTGGATCCATTCATTGCTCCTATAATCATTGACTACCCCTCTAAATTGTCTACGGTTCTCCACTTCCTTCTTTCCAATGAAGAGGCTATTTAAGTTTCAACCATCTGACCATTCTTTGAGTTTCCATATTTTTTTGTATGAAGTGCTTACGTTAATAAATTTGCTATGCTTTCCTTTTGTCCACCTGTCTTTTGTTATGGATGTGTTGGCTGTGACCCTTTATGATGGGCAGGAACAGGGCCACCCCATTTCCACCTCTAAACTGGGATGGTGGAAAGATCATGGGTTGCATTGGAATCCCAGTAATTCATTTGCCAGGGGTGGTATTGGGCAAGATGCTCAATCCCTCTGTATCTTATTTTCCTTATCTATAAAAATAAATGATATTCTTTTTGTGGTAAGAAGACTTAAAATCTACTGTCTTCACAATTTTCAAATATATAATATCTCAATAACTGGAGTCATTGATGATGTATGGTAGACCTCTTGAAGTTATTCCTCCTAACTGAAATTTTGTCCAATCTACAATGTGTATCTATATCAAAACATCATGTTGTGCACCATAAATAGATATATTTAAAATTTTTCAATGCAACAAATTTGAGATTAAAATAAACTTAAACATTTCTGTTGATAGCCATATTGTGAGGATCCAGTATTCCTGCTGTATGGAAAAACAAAATTACAATGTCTATCACAGTGCCTGTAATTTACAGATACTCAATACAAGTTAATTTCATTATTATTATTTTTTTTTTGAGACAGGGTGTTGCTCTATTGCCCAGTCTGGAGTGCAGTGACATGCTCATAGCTCACTGCAGCCTCAAACTCCTGGGCTTCAGTGATTTTCCTGCCTCAGCCTCTGGAGAACAGGCATGCACCACCACACCTGGCTAACTTTTTTTTTTTTTTTGTAGAGACAGGATCTTGCTATGTTACCCAGGCTGGTCTCAAATGCCTGGCATTAAATGATCCTGCTTCAGTCCTGCAAAGTGCTGGGATTACAGATGTGAACCACTATGCCTGGCCTTAATTTTATCATTATATCCTATGCACCGCTTATACACACACATAAGGAAAAAAATCTTTGATAGGTAATGTCCAGTTAAGAAAAATGATTATATTTATATTGCTTTGTGAACAAAGGCTCAGGTCAATGTATAGGTAGTTAAACTATACCCTTAAGCTCATATTGTTATATGTGTGAATTCTATGGTATTGACGACATTTCTCAGATTTTAGATTACATGAGGATAAAACACAAAATTGCACCTGTATCCTCTGAATCTATAAAAACAAAAACAAAAGAAAACAAAAGAAATGTAATGTAAAATAAGAGTTTTATTCAGAAGTTGAGCTGCGGTGTTTAAATTTCAGCCTCAAAAATTCATTGAGCCGTAAAGTATTTATATGTGAATTTTTCTGTATATAGAGTATGATTTGTACAAAATTTAACATTTTTTAATGAAAAATTTAGCAAATTTTTTTCATTTTAATTGAAATGAAAATTTCAATTGAAATTTTGTAATTAACATATTTAGCAAAAGTAATAATAGCTGCCATATGTTAAATATTTACTATGTGTCAATGATTGTAAACATATTATCATGCCTCATCCTGTGAAAACAAAACATTTCACCTAGTAGTTGATGAAGTAGTCTAGAGTTCAAGCACACAGTGGCAACATCTATATATTTAACACTTTCATACAGTAGCTTCACTGCACCCACACTTAAACAAGTCTAGAAAGCATGTGTGTATTTAAAATTGTTGTGTGATATAATAGACACTCATGAGGGCAGACATGTTAGCCCTATCCCAAGCCCAGAAGAGAACTGGAACCAACATATTGCGGGATGAACAAAAATTGCTGAAAATTGGCTTTGAGTGGATATTTGAGTTAGAATCAATCTAGGTTGTCTTTATCATTTATAAATCCAGAGTATCATCCAGCATTTTATTCTAGACAGATTTTAGAAGTTTTACTTCAAAGGCACACTGGATTATAATTCTTTAAAAGGATACAGGCATGACTAACATTGAGAAGAGTGATTCAAACTTTTCAAAAAGAGCGCTGAATGCTGGGTCTGGTTAGAGTTCGTCTCTGTGAAAAATACTCTGATCATGGGGAAACTAGGGCAAAGTATGGGTCTCAAGCAGAGCTTTAACAAATACAACATGTTGTGTTTTTAATTCTTGGTTGAAAATGAAAAATGCATCTGACATTTTTGTGAAACAAATACTATGATTTTTTTTTTGACCCCAGGAAGAATAAAGCACATCTCACCTTTAGTGGCCAACTTTATTTTGTTACTTAAACATAATAAAATAGCTTCAAGGGAAAGCTTGGGAGAGAGCTCAAGGAGATTGCAGTCAATAAGGATTCAAATTACTCCATGACTTCAATGTTTGAAACATTTAAAGGAGAGAACATGTGATATTAGGTAAACCAGCAACATTCCTAACAGAGGGTGGTTATACAGCTCATTGACAGACCATTAAGTCAATAACACAATGGCTCTGAGCATTTGTTTGGGTCTCCAGTTTTCATAAACAAATCTCTGCTTTGCAATAATTTAACTAATTTTTTTCTACACACCAATACAGTACACCAGCAAATGAACAGATAATGAAGAATCGATGTACCCTGCCACATGCTCTCACCTCTCTTCAGGTAATTCTCACTTTGCAAAGATGCTGAAGCACTTGAGATATTAAATATTTGAAGAAATAAAAGGACAAAACTAAGCAAAAACAAACAAATAAAACACTCCACTTGGAACACGAGGTCAATTCAGGAAATGTGTTTGTCTCAGAGCACCAGTACGATTTCCTCTCATGTTGAAGTGTTTTTTTCCACTCTGATTTATGCTTCTCTTCATAGTTGATTTTTTTTGAATAGATTCATTCTCTGCATTTTAAATGGTGTGACTTAAAACTCAAAGAAACTTATCCTTTAAGTTGTTTTGCACTTGTAACTACTGGCAAGTACTTATCTTTCTATCATTTTTTTATTAGTTTGCATAATTTGATGGTGTATTTTACAAATAATAATTTCTTAAGAGTATAATAGTTCACTTAGTGAATACTCTTAACTGTGTAATACATTTACATTTAAATCCAATAGTTTAATTGAAATAGGACCTATTTGGAATAGGAACAATTGATCACAGACACATGGAAAATATTTCATAGGGGCAGTAAAATACAGATATGAAATTTATTTTAATAATACATAATGTTTATTTAAAATATATGTGTACTCTCAGAGTTGACTCAGGTGCATATTAAAGGAAAAAAACCCACGCCCTTTTCTCATTTGTCTCTCCTTGTGTTTTCTAAATAAAAATCTAATGATAAGTTCCAGAGAAGCAGCATTTATATTTTTGAAAAACTAGACAATGCATCTCTTTTTTCATAAAATGCCAGGTTGTATCCATTATTCTTGTAACTTACAGAATCCTAAAGTATATTTGCCCAAACTGAAAAGTTCTGAGCTTACTTGAGGAAGGAGGCAAAAAAGCACTGTCAAAAGTTTAAAAAATTCCAACCCATCTATAATTGTTAGAATCCAGTAACTACTTATGTGAATATTCTTTATAAACTTCAGTGTCTATTTTAATATTATAGTATGTATGACAGGTAATAAGCTAACTTTTCGGAAACTAAAATGAACACCCAATTACACATATATTTCCTTATGTATGCTGATTTTTTTGAGATATAAATCTCGTGATTGTTGGTTCACATAAATAATCTTATGTTTCTTCTCTGGTGACTTAGAAAAGATTATTAGTTTCTAATGATGTCTATTTATACTGTTGCTATATCCAATGATTTTATTGTTTGGCTAGGCTAAATATCTTAATTTACATATCTTGTATTTTACCTAACAGTGTTTTAAGATCTGTTGTTATATAAAACTCTGCTTGCTTTGCTGAATTCATAACTATCAGAAGCAACATATTTATGATTAATGATGGAAAATATGCTTTGAAGATGTTTTTATTTGCATTTATAGATATAATTTGCTAAAGGATTTATGTGAGCACTACTCATAAATGTTCTGATCAGATGTTTGACTATAAAACATTTCTAAATGCCACACTCCACAGGCTAATGACCTATCCATCTGAAATAGTATTCCGACTCCTATAAATGTTACACATTTTAGATCTTTTAGAGATAGCTTTTATATCTTCATGTTTGAGGAAATATCCAGAAAAAGAGTAACTTCCCTGAACAGTTAGGACACTGTAGAGGATAAAGATGATGAAGAACGCTGACCTATGAATCAGCACTTAATAGAAGGCTAGAGGTCAACCCCCAAAGTCCAGGTCAGAATGCTCACGGACAGCCAGGAAAGCAAATAGCACATGGTACAATCGGAGTGAAAGGGACATAGTGAGGAAGTCACAAGATGACAGGGTATGTATATAATTAGGACATTCCTGAGAAATTGAAAGACATCCTAGGCAGATTAAAAAGGAGTGAGATGCCTGGACCTTCTCAATTTATAAATAAGGTTATACACTTCAGGGGAATATTTGTTAACTCATTTTTCCCACAAAAATACTGTTGCCTTAAATTAGCTCATAACATCCTAACTCATGTTTTAGCTGACTTTTTTTTTTTTTTCTTAGTCACCTCTTTCAGACTTTCCAAGGCAGTTTGGCTGGCACCATTATATGTCTTAATCTTTATTTTTCTCTTTTTTCTTTAAATCCTATACTTCATGCTTATTACTTAGCTCTATTTTATTTCCTGCATTATTTTTGGAACAAGGAAAATTATACTGTAACCAAGTGTGCCAAATAAAGCAAAACAGGAAAGGAAGGAAGGCTTTATTCAGTCTATTGAAGTAGGGGAGACAGACTGAACGTGACTCCACTGAAACAAAGGTGAGAGGGTTTTTAAAGGCTAAGGTGAGCAAGTAGAAAAGTAGCCGTGGATGTTAAGGGAGAAGTTGATCAATGGTATGTGTTGAGCACATAAATTATTCCTGAGTTTGCAAATGTTTTTCTCTGTGATTAGACCACCTGTGTTTGCTAATTGGCATCCATCAAAGTTAGGCTGCTACCCTCCCACAGAGATTGGGAGATAGGAGTGCTATCTCCTTCGGTGTTTACATTTCAAAGTGATGGTTCCCAGGTCCTTGAGAAAGACATTGCCTAGATTGCAAAACTGTCAGGAGGCTGGGAGAAGATTTACATACATTTCAAAGGGGCAGGAAAAGAATTTACAATTAGACATTTTCTAAAGTAACTGCTCTAAGAATAGGGAGGTCTGTGGTCAAGAAGAAGTCTGTCTAAAATTAAGTCAAGCTGGGGGGTGGGGGGGCAGGGGGCAACTCTAAGGCCATCTTGGTTAAGTGTGTATTAATTTTCAAATATTAATGTTTACATCTATTATGTATCCATTGCATATTTTATATTTGAATATAAATTCTGCAGCATACAAACATGAGTGAATGTAAATATTTCACACCAGTCTGTAATCTTCTATCTGTGTTCTTAATTTCTTTTCTGCTTGTAGAATTCCATCATCATTTACTGAACCAAAATTCATTAGCCTGCCCCTTATGACAAACACTGAAATAGCTAAGACACAGTCCCTCCTCCCAGGGCCTCTCTCCCCAGGCTCTAAAGGTGTTTGGGCATTTATCTCCTGAAGGTAACTCCAGTGAAGGAAATTGAAATATTTTACTCCAAAATATATTTCTTTGACATATTTTGAAATGCTGCCACTTGGCCATCCTGACACTTGGCCTTGTAAAGCTGTCTTTGGCGGGGAAAATTTGCATCTGTTGAGAATTTGCATTAATTCAGCCAGAGTCCTTCCCCTTTCTATGCTTTTCCCAGGTGCCAGGAGAGATTAAGAGTTTGACACCTTTTAAAGTCTGAAAAGAAACATTTACCACCGATCATCTCTGAGGGAGGCATCATCTACGTATCAAGGACACGTTTGCTAGCCAAGCTTCTTCCATTCTTCACTCTCTTAACCTGTCTACCTGTTTCTGGTCGTGGTCCGAATCTGCATTCTTTACTGTGGCCTCAGGATGGTATATAAATTTCTGTAACTTACTGGGAAGTTGGGTCTTCATTCTAAAGGCTCCCAAGTATATGCATTAAGTAAATTTGGATGTCTTTTCTCCTGTGAATCAATCTGCCTTATGTCAGTGATTTTTAGTGAACCTTTAGGGGACCAAGAGCTTTGGCCCCCACACCACCCACAGAAGACAGGAGTGGTGCAACGTATTACCCAGCAACCTTACTGCAAGTCAGACAGGTGCACAAATAGTCCAAAGAATACAAAATGCAGTCATGCATCCCTTTGCCTATTGGATATATTCCATTGCAGACAGAGTCCAGAGTGGAGATATGCATGTTCATATTGTTCAGCTTGTTTCCAGTTTTTCACAGCCTGGGCATTTTTGTTCAAAACTCTAGAGCTGCACTGTTCAATACAGTAGTAGACACATGTGACTATTGACTGTTGAAATGTGACCAGTCCAAAATGAGAAGTGCTGTAATTGCAAAATACACATTAAATTTCAGAAGCTTAATGTGATAAAAATAATGTAAAGATATCTCCAAGAATTTTTATATTGATTGTTTTTTTAAATGATAGTATTAAGAGGAACAAGATCATGTCCTTTGCAGGGACATGGATGAAGCTGGAAGCCATTATCCTCAGCAAATTAACTCAGGAACAGAAAACCAAATACTCCATGTTCTCACTTATAAGTGGTCACTGAGCAATGAGAACACATGGACACTGGATGGGGAACAACACACACTGGGGCCTGTCAGCGGAGGGTCGGGGGATGTGCAGAGAGCATTAATGAAAACAGCTAATGCATGCTGGGCTTAATACCTAGGTGATGTATTGATAGGTACGGCAAACCACCATGGCACATGTTTACCTATGTAACAAACCTGCATATCCTGCACATGTACCCCGGAACTTAAAAAACAAACAATAAAATAATTTTAAAAAATGATAGTATTTTGAATCTATTGGGTTAAATATTAAAATTATTTCATCTGCTTTATTTTTCATAATATGGCTACTAGAAATTTTAAAATTATATATGGTACGTGTTATATTTCTGTTGGTTGGCAAGGCTCTAGAGGCCCAAATTTCCCCTATTCCCAGTGCCAGGGCTATTGCTTTTCTGCATTTTGGTCTCTGTTGGTCTCTTTCTTCTCTTCCATTTCTTCCTGCCTCTCTTGTTCTACTATCAGCTGAAATGTCAACTCCTCCCTACAGCATAGGGTTACTTAACACTAATTTATCATTTACAATGGTAATAATAATATAATATAATCATTTAGATTTATAATAATATGTAGCATTTTATTCTTCACACTAAAAACATGTTTCTTCTTGTAGCCACCTAACAGGGAGTTTATTATTAAACACATAGTAAAGCTCAATCAATATCTATTAAATGTTCTGAATTCTGATCAAACATCTAGCTGAAAACCCACAGTCTCCAATTTATCATCACATTTCTATTGTTCCACTCGAGGGAGGAAGAGGTAAATAAGACCTTTAAGTGAGGTGCTGTTCTAAGTTTGAGAAAACCCAGACTTCCCCTTCCCCTAACCTCCTAACCTGGTCATTAGGCCTCAGTCAAAGGGCAGGAGCAAGTTAACCAATGGGATCTGAAATCTCGCTTGTCTAATAGTGCTTCCATTGAATTCACAAGTAAGTTGAGTAGAAAATTTTCTAGTGCATAAAAGAAATGCTGATGAGAAATATATTTTTTTATTGATGTGCAACTTTCTTTTTCCCTCGCAAAGAATCGTAGTCAATGTTACGATTGTTCCTTTCTTGTAAAAATAATGTCCAAAGGCAGGATTCTATTCATGCAAACTGTCAATAAACATCCTTGATAAATGAGTGAAAGAAATCGGAGTATTCACTGGAAAGAATTTCAAACCCATGCTGACTTCAAGCAACTATAATTTAATGGAAACATCAATGACAAAATATTTCAATGGTCAATGTGCAGACCTCTAAATTATTAAATTTTCCAAGGTTGTGAAGGAATGGTAAAACTGTTTTCAAAGTGTTTTGGGTAAATCTGTTTTGAGAGAGTTGCCGCTTGAGGCACACGTAGAACAGCTTACTTTGTTCCCTTGTAAAAGGCTAATCGAGGAGCTTAGGGCATCATAAAGATGATCACCTCCCGTGGGGAATAGAAAATACTGTTTAACCTTTCACATTATCCATTCTGGGCACACAAGGGAATTATGCTTGCTGCTAATACCGGAGATGAGTAAGCCCTTACATAAACACACTGTGAACGAGTATTTATAAAGGCAGAGTTTATAGTGGGTTTTGGGATTAGGCATTAGTTCACATTCGCTGTCTTCCAACAGCGGACCCTACAGATCTGGATACTGGGTCCTCCACATTTGGCGCATCACGTAGAGCTGCGTGTATCGTAGCAAGGCGGCAGCGTTGAGAGGCCTTGCCCAGAGAGTTATGTGATCAAGACAGGTTGATTTCACTTTCCTCCAACTTCAAGGATGACATCTAGCCTGTAAGGACTGCAACAGTTTGATGAAGCTAAACATTTCAGTTGCAACAAAAGAAATCAGTACATAATGTGCCCTGAATAATGGCATATATCGCCCATGTCAACTCAGAAAAAACATGCGTTACACAATTTCTGTATTTAAAATTTTAAGGTCATCGTTTAAGTCAGGATTTCTCAATTTGGCACTACTAACACTTTGGGATGAATAATTCTTTTGAAGTGGGTGGGAGGGGTGCTGTCTGGTGTGTGGTAGGATGTTTGGAGCATTCTTGATCTTTACTCACTAGAAACTAGTAGCTATCCCCCCATGGGTTGTGACAGCCAAAAATGTCTCCAGAAATTGCCAAAATGTCTTCTGGGGAGGGGGCAAAATTGTCCCTGGTGAGAACCACTGACTTAATAGTTTACAAAGTTCACTTACACATTCGTGCTTGTGTGTATGTATGTTTACACATTTGTATATTCAATCTTTATCAGGGTATACAGGCACATATAATAACATACAAAACATAACATATTTAAATACTAAATATATGAAACAAAATTTTGGTGCAGTCCCTATCAGGGAAAGTTAAGAGGGACAATAATCTTCTCAAATAATGTATTTATGCTCCAAGTTTTTTTTTTTGAAGAGAAATTGCTTCAAATATTACTATGTTAATATAAAAGCACTCATTATAATTAAACAAAAAACAGTATTCTAAAAATGTTTGTTGAACAACTAAAATGAGCCAGATGCTATTCCATGGGTTTGGGCTGGGGGCAGAGAAATGAAACAAATGGATCCCTGCCCCTCATGAAGTAGAGGGGAGTCATAGAATCCTTACGTAATGATGCAAACAAATATGAAATTAACCACTGTGACATGGGTTCCGAAGTTTTTTGTTGTTGTTGTTGCTTTTGTTTTTTTGTTTTTTTTGAGACGGAGTCTCATTCATTCTGTCACCCAGGCTGGAGTGCAGTGGCGCGATCTCGGCTCACTGCCAGCTCCGCCTCCTTGGTTCACACCATTCTCCTGCCTCAGCCTCCTCAGCAGCTGGGACTACAGGCGCCTGCCACCACGCCCGGCTAATTTTTTGTATTTTTATTAATGATGGGGTTTCACTCTGTTAGCCAGGAATGGTCTCGATCTCCTGACCTTGTGATTCGCCTGCTTCAGCCTCCCAATGTGTTGGGATTACAGGCGTGAGCCACCGCACGTAGCCTCTGAAGACAAGTTTTATGGTAGAGACACCCCCACCAAGGAAGCAGGTTCTAATATGTATGCTAGTATAACCACACATGTATCTTATGTCAATGATGCTCATATTATCATATAAATCAAAGGAGTGTTCATGAAATTTCAACAGAGTATTGGAATAAGTGGTTGGAATCAAGGGAAATGTATCTCAGTTATGCATGGAAGCAGACAATCTCTTGGCTTCAGGTGAGATGCCAAGAGGGAAATACTGGGGGTCAGGTTAAGATATCAATCCACAGGCTATCACAAGCAAGGTGAATACAGCAAAAAAAACCAAAACAAAACAGCCAGGCGTGGTCGCTCACGCCTGTAACCCCAGCACTTTGGGAGGCCGAGGCCAGCGGATCACCTGAGGTAGGGAGTTTGAGACCAGCCTTATCAACATGGAGAAATCTCATCTCTACTAAAAATACAAAATTACCCGGGCATGGTGGTACATCCCAGCTACTCAGGAGGCTGAGACAGGAGAATTGCTTGAACCTGGGAGGCGGAGGTTGTGGTGAGCCGAGATCACGCCATTGCACTCCAGCCTGGGCGACAAGAGCAAAACTCCGTCTAGACAAACAAACAAACAAACAAACCACATACACACACAAAACCTAACGCCTTATAATAAAAGCTATGGTTGAAATGCATATTATACATACACATACAAGATTTATACAAGATTTTCAATACCAATTTTATTTTACTTGGGAGACTTTTAAGCTCTGAGCATAAATTTTCCTGGTCTTCCAAATAAGGAGAAACAATTTACATAAATAAGCATGAGCTATAGGGGCAGAATTATATTTACAGTATAGGCTGTCTATTGAGTGAGTGCTTGAACCCCATGGAGGCTGAGTGGAAAAAATATCATGACAAAGATTAAAACTTTTCTTGATAGCTGGTAAGTTATTTCTCACTGCTGCTGGAGGTCCAGTGCAGGTTTCAATTAAGTAGTTGGGGGAAGGTCCTGGTTCACATAACCAGTCCTGGTTCACATAACCAGTCTGACGGAAACTCCACAATCTTGTAGCTGAACATTCTGGAATACTGAGACTCCTGAGTCATCTTGGCAGAACAGGAAAAGCAAGGAAGATCAAACTGTAGATCTTCACTGGCCATGTCACTGGACACAAAGGTTGCATGGTTGTGCCTAGCCGTGTAGGGGAGAAAATTAAATATCTGAAGAATATTAGGCAATTAATACTCTTAATTTATCTAATTTAATATCTAAGTTAATTACCTAATTAAAATAATATTAATAGAATATTATTGATATGGTTTGGCTGTGTCCCCACTCAAATCTCATCTTGAATTGTAGCTCCCATAATTTCCATGTGTTGTGGGAGGAACATGGTAGGAGATAATTCAGTCATGGGGGTGGTTTCCCCCATACTGTTCTCCTGGTAGTCAATAAGTCTCACAAGATCTGATGGTTTTATAAGAGGAAACCCCTTTCCCTTGGCTCTCATTCTCTCTTGTCTGCCACCATGTAAGAAGTGCCTTTTGCCTTCTGCCATGATTGTGAGGCCTCCTCAACCATGTGGAACTGTGAGTCCATTAAACCTTTTTTCTTTATAACTTACCCAGTCTCAGATATGTTTTCATCAGCCGTGTGAAAATGGACTAATGCAATTATACACATATATTTGCAGAAGTGTTTGTATTGTTTATGGCAGTGTTTGTATCTAGTACTGCAGGATCTGTCACAGTAACAAAAGACAAAGACCCAAAAGATCACCAATATAAACAAGTTAAATGCAATCAGAGGATGGAATACTATGGGGAAGACTCTTGTGTGCTATATAGAAAGAGTTAAAGGAAGTATTGTTAGGGACAAAAAAGTAAGATATACTATAGTTGATAGTATGGAAACTCTGCTAGTGAGATTAAGGATTGAGGGTGAAAGGGAGACTTTATTTTACTTTTACTTAAGAGCCTTCTGTACTGTTTGGAGTACTTATTTTTTGAATTTTTCATTTTCTCTATGCATTTAATCAAGTATTACTGCATTAATAGGTTAAGAAAACATAATGGTTGCATTTTGACTACTCAGAAGAGAGACATTATAAATGTGTAACAGTGTCACTAGAGCCCATTAAGAAATCACAGTGCATAAAGGAAAGAATCTTTAGAAGCAATACAAGCTCAGAGAAATTTTAACTTGTTCTCTTTCTTGAGCCTAAAATTGTTCAATGAGCTCAAACCCAGACTGGCATTTTGACCATCAATTATCACTGTATATTTATAGATATGCTCTTTCCCAGCAATTTCAGAAGGTTAAAGCAAATGTATGTAATCATTCTATTATTTGCCAGAAGATAAAGTGCCATTGAGGCTTCTGTGATCAAAGGAAAATGGTTCCAAAGATAACTTAGGCACTGGCTGATATTAAAATGTCGAAAGAATGAGCTTTTCAGATATAAATGTATATTTTTACTTTTAAATCTAGCCACATCAGGACCTAAAAAATATAACCCTTCATGTTTAAATAGAATTTTATTGATGCACCATCATGAGTATATTATTGGAATTATGTTTTGTAGGAGTGATGGGTTTGTCTTAGTCTTACACTGTCTGGTACAATTTGGACCAATTCTAAGCCTTAAGACATGCTTCCTCTGGTCACAAGTTTTCCTTTTTCACTTAATCAATACTTAGACTTTAGACAGAAATTCAGAGTCACTTCGTCAGTAACACCTTCTCTGACCCCAACACTGGGTCAGGACCCTCAACTGAGCAATTTCAGCATGCTTTACAATTTTCCTTTGCTGTGCTTATCACACTGACTAGTAAAGATTTGTGTTTGACATGACTTGCCTTTCTCACATGACTGTAAGCTCCAAGTCTGCTTTGCTTATTATTATAAACATATTTCTTATCACAGTGGCTGAAATGTGGGAGGTCTCAAAAGATAGCCATTGAATGAATGAATGTAGGACAATGCACCTCTGTCTGTGTGCACACGCGTGCACTCGGATGCATCCCCTCCAGAGTAACCTACAAAAAGAGGCTGGACTACTACAGGAAGAAGAAAGAGTCATGTCTTCCCCTCTCATGGGCAAAGAACTCAAAGATAATTATGTAGTCTGTCGGGGCCTGTTCTGAACCATCCTGAAGCACTTGCCCAAGTCCAGCTGTGGTGCAATTTCTGAAATAATATCTCAGACTCTGGAAAACATGCTGCTGCTGAGCTATTGTGTCCACTAAGCTGTCCTGGTTCGGGGAGAAGATGGAGAAAGATAGTAGGATTACCTTAACCCCTGACAGTAGGAGTTGAATTTTTCTAAAGAGGAATGAGGGTTTAGACTGCTGGGCTTCAAAATCATGGTTTTCATCAAGGAGTATGTGACTAGTAAATAACAAAGATAATGAGAAATAGCAACGGGGGCCATTTTTGAAGACATCGTGGGAAGAACTTGGTCTTTTTTCTTCTCCTGAACTCTGTAAACAATTACATTAAGATAGGGTTTTAAGTTTCATTTATACTGTAATTTCTTTTAGATTTCCCTTAACCACCAATAAAGTCTATCTCTCACAGTCAGTCTTTCTCCCAGTGGTGGACTGAGGAACTGGGAACAAGGCTGTAAAGTGATGGCACTGTGCTGACCTCAGAAAGATCCCTGATCCTGGAGCTCCAAGCTAACATGGGTCAAAGTTATCAGACACAGAGAGAGCTGTAAACAGATGACCTGAGTCCTGATGATGGTGGAGATGGTGGAGACGGTAGAGGTTAATCCTTGGGGATGACAAGAGAAAGTTAGTTAAAAGGTGTCACCCAGATTTACAGGAATGAGTGGGATTTTATTTTATTTTATTAATTAATTAATTAATTTTTGAGATGGAGTTCTGCTCTTGTTGCCCAGGCCAGAGTGCAATGGCGCGATCTCGGCTCACTGCAACCTCCGCCTCCCAGGTTCAAGTGATTCTCCTGCCTCAGCCTCCCGAGTAGCTGGGATTACAGGCATGCACCACCACACCCGGATAATTTTTGGCATTTGTAGTAGACATGCGGTTTCTCCATGTTGGTCAGGCTGGTCTTGAACTCCCGGCCTCAGGTGATCCACCCACCTCAGCTTCCCAAAGTGCTGGGATTACAAGCGTGAGACACCGCGTCCGGCCATTGTTTCTTTTTTCTTTTTTCAAGACAATTTTGCTCTTGTTGCTCAGGCTGGAGTGCAATGGCACAATCTCAGCTCACCACAACCTCTGCCTCCTGGGTTCAAGCGATTCTCCTGTCTCAGCCTCCCGAGTAGCTAGGATTACAGGCACCCACCACCAGGTCCAGCTAGTTTTTGTATTTTCAGTAGAGACAGGATTTTACCATGTTGGCCAGGCTGGTCTCGAACTCCTGACCTCAGGTGATCCACCCGCCTCAGCCTCCCAAACTGTTGGAGTTACAGGCGTGAGATTCTGTGCTTGGCCAAAAGGGATTTTTAAAAGGATATGTGGAATTATATGGTGAGAAAGAGGCTGCACTGAAAAGTTCTGATCAGGCTGTGTCCTTAGTAAAGAGTTTGAATTTCATTTTGCAACCAAAGTTGCATCTGTTGTTTCTGAACAGCTGTAAATTCTAATCAGTTGATGTGCAGAAAGATGATTCAAAAATCAGTATGTAGGGAGGGCAAGTCCACTGCTGAAGTCATTAAAATATAAGAGTAAGAAAAGCTGGTTTCTAAAAAAGGGAGATTGTTATTTCCTATGTCCTCTTGTTATAGGTTAGTTGTTTTTAATTACTAAAACAAAAATTTAAAAATTATCAACTTAGATAAGTTACCCGGGTTGGGGAGGTGTATCTCTCATGTATCTAGATTTTACCAAAGGATACCTGTTTGTGATGTTACAAAACAGAAAAATAGAAAAACAATCTGTACAAACTTTGGGTTGGTGTGTAAGGAAGAGCCATGCATTTCATCCGTTAGTCAACATCGAACTGCATAGTTGGGTCAACTGGTATCATGAAAAGAAATTAGTATAGTTAAAGTATGAGGCTTTCTTATACCACTGGAGGATGTGTGTGTGTGTGTTTGTGTGTGCACGTGCACGTATGTGTGTGACAGAGATCATATCTCCATCAAATTCATCTTTCCACTGGATTTAAAAAATCTAAATACTGTAGCAATGTTATTATCAGACAGAACATCCTTTCCCAATAATTGCTCTGCAAGAATTAAATGCTAGATCAGCAAACTTCTAGAGTATTCCGTCGATTTGCTATTATGCAAGATTATGCAATTTCTGTTAAGTGGTTCCCAGAGGCTTACAAAACGGGTTAACTTAGTCCTGAATGTGGATTAATTTATGTTTCCCAGCCTCATTTAGCCTTTTTAGTGTATAACATGATTAGTTCACCTAATATTTTTATATGATTTAAATATCAAGAAAATTAACTTTCAGAAAATGCTAATGCATTTCATATGTTTTAGGAGCTACAGCAGTAGAGGTTTTGATATTGACATTTGCCATTTTTTGTTCTTTTACCTACAAATCTACTTTGATATGTGTGTATGTATGTATACACACATATATACACAAATATATAAACACACGTACATATATAGGTATATATACATGTACATATTTGTATAATTGCTGATGACATGTAGGAAAGATTACTTCATGTTGCTAAGGAAGAGTTTCTCCTGTGAATAAAGGAAATTTGTTTAAGGAAATAAAAAACACTACAAATGTGGCAGGGGCGTTCAGTTGGAGTATCCTGTTAAGCAATATGGGTGCTTTATTTGGGCTGTGCTTTCTTGGTATATGGTTCTTTAAGAATATGAGAATATAGCAACATCAGCTAGTCCAGGAGCAATGCTATTAACCTGAATGGTCAGTGCAGTTGCAGACCTGGGAGCAGTTAATCAACTAATGGATATTTCTGTAGAGAGAAACTATCTAGTGAGGTCATATGAGTTGTACAACACAAGTGGTCAGCATCATGAGTCCTCCACTCCAGAACTAAAATCCCTTTCTCTGTGTTACCTTGCTGCCTATCTGCATCTACCTTTTCTCCTCCTGTGCCAATTCACTACCATCCACCATCGACTTACTAAATATATTGTTTACAAAGTGACCTAATATAACTATGGAATAGAGGATGTTTATGAAGAAGACAAACAATTTTATTTTAAAATGTTTTACTCATATTCATGATTCATAGTGAAGCAAGACTGGTTTTTAAAACATTATAATACATTTTTCATTACTTATATTTTATAGTTTTATTTTAATATAAGAAACCATAATAAGTATAAATCATGACTCCGAATCTCACCACCTAGATAAACTCAGGAATCATCCTTTTTCTAGGTGGCATGACCTTAGACTTCCACCAACAAGGTAAAGGATATTATAAAACATTTTCAGAAGCCCTTTCTGAAATGGGAAAAATGGTGTTTCATTGTTGTTTCAATTTGTACAATTTTTTTTGGTGGAGGGGTCAGAGTCTTCACTCTGTCACCCACGCTGGCGTACAGCGGCGTGATCATGACTCACTGCAGCCTCAACCTCCCAGGGTTCAAGCGATCCTTCCAGTTCAGCCTTCCAAGTAGCTGAGAGTGCAGGCACATGCTACCATGCGGGTTAATTTTTTGTAGAGACGGGGGTCTCACTTTGTTGCCCAGGCTGGTCTAGAACTCCTGGGCACAGGCCATCTTCCCACCTCGGCCTCCCAAATTGCTGGGATTACAGGCGTGAGTCACCGCGCCTGGCCTTAATTTCTATCAATTTAATTGATGTTCTCTATTCTTATTCATTGGCCATGGCTAAAAATGCTTATTGTGTCTAATTTGTGCTTTTAAATATGTTTGTGGGATACCTATATTTACATGCAACCCTCAGGATATGGAATAATTGTTTATATGTGTAACAAACTTTAACAGCTTATTCTTAACAATAATAGGTAAAATCTGGGAAAACGAATTGTATCATTCCTATGTAGTATTCATGAAAACATTTTTAGATTTCCTTACCGACATGTAGAATGAAGCAGTAGTCTGTCAATCTGTTACAAACTAGACCAGTGGTTCTCCAAGTGAGGTTCGCCAGACCAGCAGGATGAGATCAGCTGGGAACTTAAAATTTGAATTCTGGGGTCCTACCCAACTACAAATCAGAATCTGGGGGTGAGACCCAGAAATCTGCGTTTTATTAAGCCCTCCAGCCAATTCTCATGTACCGTGAAGTTTGACAACATTTGGAGTAAACCAACAATGAGGAACCTCATGTAAAATGCTACTTAAGAGACTTTTTCTCACCCCCCACTGTAATGTCAATGTGCACATTTTCTTTTCTTTTCTTTTTTTTTGCATCCAAAATCATTTTAATAAGAGAGTAGGATCCAGGGTTAGTTTTTGTAGCCTCAGCTGGCCCGTCAGCCTCTGGCGCGCTCGAACTTCCGGCCCTTGGAGTGGACGTAGGGTTTGGTGTGGCTGTGCGGGGTTCCCGGGGCCTTGCCAAAATGCCCGTACACCTTTCGGCCCTTGAGAGGACCGGAGAGCAGGACGGTGCTGCAGCCCTTGCGGGAGTCCACGGCCAGCTGGTCGAAAAGTGAGGATCTTGCCCCCTGCCCTGAGGACGCGGCTGCGGGCCAGGTTGGTCACACTCAGCACACACACCTTCAGTTTGGGCACCTCCTGAACCCGCACGTCATCTGTTATGCTCCCCACAATCACGGCCGTTTTGTTTTCCCGGACAGGAAGCTTCACTCTTCTGGATCATCTGGGAAAGGGACAGAGGTGGCCGGTTGGTACGACTCATAAACAACCTCTTCAGCACAACCTGGTTGAATGTGGAGTCGGTTCGTCTGGCCAGAAAACTGCACAGCTTGACCAACAGCCTCAGGTAGATATCCTGGCTCTTGGGCTCCTTGCGCCGAACCTTTCGGTCCTTGTTGTGGCAGATGTCAGCTCCCATGATGGCGTCTCCTGCTCGGCCAGGTACGGAAAGAGAGAACGGCCAATGTGCACATTTTCTATTAAGACTTCTTCCTCTCCTCTCTCCCTTTCTTTTCCCCTCTCTCTTGCAGAAATTCCCTCCATTTGTGTCTTTATTTTTTAATCTTTCCGAGATAATAGCTTCACTAATGCATTGCTACATGTGGAGAATCTATTAACTTTTAAGATAAAAAGTTCATTTGCTAAATTCTCCCCATATGTTCAAACTCATAAAGTACTTGTTCTGATTGATATGATACAAACAAAAAATCATATTACTCAATGTAGCATAATTTTAGGAATACTTTTGTGGTCCTGCATTAGCACCGATTTTTGAACATGCTTTATTAAATTCTAAAATCTTGCACACTACATGTCATTGTGGTAGTTACAGTATATATCAAGATTTTTAGGTTAAAATCTTAAAGTAAGGCATATTTGTTCCTAAACGCAGTAAGAGGAATAAGAGCACTATTAATATTACTATTGTGATTAAAATTGTTTATGTTAATATTTTCATAAGACTTATCTCATTCAATTCTCATAATAATTCTATGAGGTAGGGCCCACTGTTATTTTGCTTTGCTGAAATATTCGTAAGTCTGCTGAAATATATACTACAAAATAGGACTGAAAAGAAAAACACTCAAATTTAAAACTTATTAAATTGTTAACTATTTAATTAAGTTCTACTCATCACAACGGATTCCAAATAGACATTAGATAAACCTAAAGGCTTCTAGTGAAGTAAAATATTATTAAACAATTTTCATATTTCAATTTTATAAAATACGCATGTAATCTAACATAGTACTATATAACTTTTTTTAATAGGATTTTTATTTTAAAAGGTTTTAACATGATTTTTTTTGGTCTATTTCAGTAATTATTTGGAAAGGTAATTTATGTCCTAAAAAATTGTAACTATGGTGTTGTGAATTTGGGCATCTTCTAGGCTAGGGAGTTTTTGGACAACTCATAAAAGTTCTCTCTTTTTACTGCATCCAGTCCAACTCATCATTTTTTAAATGTTGAGGGGATTATAAATTCATGGCTTCAAAGAATGGTATCATACTTAAAGTACAATAAATAAGAAAATGAGTCGCATTCTCCCCAAAATTAATTCACTGTGGTTCTATTAAAGGTGATCAGAATTCAAGAATCATGTAAGAACATACTCCCTACTTAAGTGTTACTTTAGGAACTACTTTTTTTTTTTCTTTTTTGAGATAGAGTCTTACTCTGTCACCCGGGCTGAGTGCAGTGGCGGAATCTCAGCTCACTGCAACTTCTGCCTCCTGGGTTCAAGTGATCCACTTGCCTCAGGCTCCCAAAGTACTGGAATTACAGGTGTGAACCACTGCACCTGTCCTGAACTACTCTTTTAGAAGTATAAGGAACTATATTGACTTTTGCTGTAGAGTCTCAACTATTCAAAAAGCAATGTTAAAAAAATTGAAATCACTCATTTTCTCCTTTGCAAAAAAGTAACTACATGGGATCTTTAGTATAAATACACATTTAGTAAAAACAAATGAGAGATGATACTTCCCACCCAAACTGGACTTTTTGGAATTAAAAAATTGAGATGGTTTGAATACAAATAAACTAAGACATCAAGGTTTCTATAAACTGTTACAGAATACAGAGAAAACCTAAGACATATGATATCATCTTTTATGGGCAATTTCATCAATTTGTGTATGTAGTAGCACTCTAATGACAAAAAAGGAGATAGAACAAAATGATTCCACAGAATAAATGGACATGATCCCGTGATTCTAGACTGATGAGACCTGACTTTCCTTGCAGAATCAATATGCACAATTGTATTCATAAGGAATATATTCCATTACATTCAGAGAAGTATTATCTATAAAATGAAATTTTTAGAAATGTCATGTGAGATAAGTCATGTGTGAAATTAAGGGGAAGTTCAACTTGTAAATTTTTGCCTACTCAAAATTTACCCCAATCGTGGCTCTGGGGCATTCCCCAGTGAGTTAACTGGTAAGAAGTAGAGGGCCGCCTACCAATATGGCTGCCAGAGGGCCACACCTCCCTCCTTGACTCTGGCAATCAGCATGTGGGCATGCATCTAATATTTGGCTGACTGCTTACTCCACTCTCAGGCCTGGTGCTACTGAGCAAAGACAAGAGGACACCTAGGTCCACATTCTTGGCTCCTCAGAGCTGCCTTGAATTCTGTGCATTTTCTAAGCTAAGTCCTTGGAAATCCCTTGGAGTTGACATTATCTTTCTACTATATTTCCGTATTGCTTATGCTCACCAGCATCAGTTTCTTTTGCTTGTAACCAAGACCTCTTATTTTGAAAAATATTTTGCACATATTTCTTAAGGGTTTACTATAGTTTTAGTAATGTGCAGATGTTGCCATTTTATTTACTAAGGAAAATCATGGCTTATGCCTCCAAAAATTTACAGTCTCCAGACGGAGGTGAATCAGTATGGAAAGTGCTACATATATCATAATAAAATAATGAGTGTTAATATGCATTTTTTTTATTTTGAGACAGAGTCTCGCCGCTCTGTCGCCCAGGCTGGAGTGCAGTGGCGCCATCTCAGCTCGCTGCAAGCTCCGCTTCCTGGGTTCACGGCATTATCCTGCCTTAGCCTCCCGAGTAGCTGGGACTACATGCACCTGCCACCACACCCGGCTAATTTTTTTTATTTTTAGTAGAGACGGGGTTTCACCCTGTTAGCCAGGATGGTCTCGATCTCCTGACCTCGTGATCTGCCCGCCTGGGCCTCCCAAAGTGCTAGGATTACAGGCGTGAGCCACCGTGCCCGGCCAATATGCATATTAAGAAACCAAAAGATAATACAGAATTTCAGGGCATCTCAACAAAGTACCAAACAGTTTTTCACATATGGTGGCCTTGCTCTTACTGGGAAAGCTTGCAAAACAATGGTGTGTGTGCATTTGTGTGTAAATTTTTTTTTAAATAATCATATATATAACTTTCTTGAAGCTACCCAATCCAGAATTTTTTTTAAAAAAAACATGAACTGCTGTCTCCAGGTAACAAATATAATTTGAAAAGAAGCTTTAAGATTAGGATTCAGTGACTAATTTCTGCAATAAAAATGAAATCCATCCATTTTTTCTCCTGCATTTTAATATCTGATAAAAATTTTTCATTTTAAATACTAACTATTCAAGTCTTTTCAAGCTTCTAAAAGACTGGAAAGTTAATTTTCCAAATGTGCTGATGAGCAATTGCAAAGATTAGTTTACATAATCTATGTTCCTGCTGGCAGAAGCATTACTTTCTATTTAATACAATGAAACTGGTATTTTTAAGGCATTTTTTCCTTTATAAAATCTGAACTTAACACATACCCTGTGTGAATATAAAATAAAAACAATTGTTTGTTTCTGCAAATTTCATCTGAAGTAGAAGTTTTAACTGCCAACTCTGAATCCAGGTTCAATAGTGAAACATGGATACATGCTCACAAATATTAAGATTTCTGGCATTTAAAACTTCCAAAGAAACAATAATTTCATAGTCTTTTAGGGAGCTGAGTAGAAGGAGTAATATAGGAACTTTTTGGATTTGGTAATGTTTAATCTATAACTAAATGTGGAACTATATCATGTCTTCTCCAAAATAACATATTATATCTTATTTCTTAATAGGAATAAGAAAACATTTTTGATTTTGAAAATGATATCTAGGAATAGATAAAGTGGATACAGAAGTGTTCAGGTATTTTAAAACTACTATTTTTTCACAATGTAAAAAGTTGCAGAATTGGAGGTTGATAAAACTCAAATGCAAAACTATTGGCCACTGCAAATCACCTAGAATTACTACCTGGGTAAAACTTGTTTGCATTCCCCATCAGTGTAGAGACTAAGTCACTGTGAAGAAATGAATGGATATTTTGAATAGGAGATGGGCGACTTAGAAAAAAAAATCTCCCCATTGATTAGGGCAGCCTTGCTGTGGAAAGAAGTGGCACTGTGGTGAACCTTAGAACATCCTGAAATATTACGTACCTGGGCAGCAAAGGAAGTTTTGTGAGGTCCAAAATACACAATCTCTCAGTATTTGGTATAGACAATGGATGACCATGAATTGTCTAATAACAGCTTATCCATATCCTTCATATGGGCAATACCAGAGATTCTCTACTTTTATCCCTAACCTTGCCACAATTGAGTCATTTTCAGAATCCAGTCTGAATTTCCAGTTAAAAATGTTGCATTGATCAACCTGATTTTTATCTCTTTTCAAAACCCCACTGCCATAATAGAAATGGAATTTTATCATTATAAAGGCACATGAGCATGTATGTTCCCTGCAACACTATTCACAGTAGCAAAAGCATGGAGTCAACCTAAATGCCCATCGGTGATAGACTGGATAAAGAAAATGTGGTACATATACACCATGGAATACTATGCAGCCATAAAACAAGAATGAGATACGTCCTTTGTGTGGATATGGATGGAGCTGGAGGCCATTATCCTTAGCAAACTAACATAGGAAAAGAAAACCAAATACTGCATGTTCTCACTTACTAGTGGGAGCTAAATGATGAGAACTCATGGACACATACAGAGAACAACACACACTGGGGCCTTTGGGAGGGTGGAGGGTGGGAGGAGGGAGAGGATCAGGAAAAATAACTATTGGGTACTAGGCTTAATACCTGGGTGATGAAATAATCTGTACAACAAACCCCCATGACAAAGTTTACCTAGGTAACAAACTTTCACATGTACCCCTGAACTTAAAATAAGTTAAATTAAAAAAGAAAAATAGTGAAAAAAAATAGTGGAAACTGGTGTTGGGGAGTGGTATTGGGGATAGAGAATGTATGGGAACTCGGTACTTCCTGTTCAATTTTTGTGTAAACTGAAAACCTCTCTAAGAAATAAAGTCTACTAATTTAAAATAAAAACACAACCAAATCAAACCATCAACTAACATGGAAAAAGAAAAGAGTTCTGAGAGTCCACCACTGAATAAAGATATTGACAGCTTTACTGGGAATCAGAAGGTGACTGAGGAATGGTGACTAATTTAAAAACAGAGTAACTAGGCCGGGTGCAGTGGCTCACGCCTATAATCCTAGCACTCTGGGAGGCCCAGGTGGGCGGATCACCTGAGGTCAGGAGTTCAGGACCAGCCTGGCCATGGTGAAACCCCGTCTCTACTAAAAATACAAAAAATTAGCCAGGCATGGTGGTGCGTGCCTGTAATCCCAGCTACTTGGTAGCCTGAGGCAGGAGAATCGCTTGAACCCGGGAGGCAGAGGTTGCAGTAAGCCGAGTTCGCACCTTTGCACTCCAGCCTGGGGCAACAAGAGCGAAACTCCCTCTCAAACAAACAAACAAACAAAACAAAACAAAAAAACAAAACCAAAAACAAACAAACAAAAAAAACAGAGTAACTAAACCCAGAACCTTATGTGGGTAAGTAGTCAAATCATTAGTCTCAGAGGAACCCTGAAAATATCAGTGCTTAGGGATTTCCAGTACTCCTGGAGGTAGGGGTCAAACACTGAGCTGAAAAGAGAAAAACTGGCTGAAATTCTGTTGACAGACCACTGACACCAAAGGAAATTCTCCTCCATTACACACGTACAGGTATGCAGGGGATGGGAGGTTTAGTCTGTGGAGCTAGCTAAAGGCACTTCCTGACTCCACTCTTAGTTCCATCTACCTTGTTTTCTAGGATGTCCTATCTTTGTGAAGGAGGATTTTCAGTGGTTGATGTGATTTAAATGGAAAAAAAAAAGTGCTAAATGGAAATCAATGTGGAATAGGAAATGAGGGTGTTGGTGTCTAATCTGATTTTAAAATGTGAGAAGTTGTGCAGTGCCCAGAAGGCACACATTTCCCTTTAGTAAGTAATTGTAGTCATTTAAAAGTGAACTTGGTTGTTTTGTTTGTTTTTGTTTTTGTTTTTACAATTATGTTTGGTATTTACTCAAATGGCTACTAAGTTGTTGGGGATATAAACACATACTACATTCTTTGGTACCAACTTACTTATAAAAAGGGATT
This sequence comes from Homo sapiens, assembly GCF_000001405.40. NCBI lineage: Eukaryota > Metazoa > Chordata > Mammalia > Primates > Hominidae > Homo > Homo sapiens. The sequence continues at coordinate 76,241,687 of NC_000016.10, forward strand.
GTTTGATATTTCTTTTGCCTTGGGCACAATGAAAATAATCACACGGATACCAATGGCGCTGTGAACTGAGAAAGTTTGAGACTCTCTGGTCTAAGCCAATTAAGGCGATGCCATTCTTTTGTGTAATATCCTCACTGCCATGGCCTGCCCTGGAGTTGGGAGCCACTGCAGGATTCAGTGTTGGTCAATGAGATGCAGGAGAAATTGTATTGGATAACTTCTTAGAAAGTTATTTTTCTTCCTAATAAGAACAGTCCAGAGGAGATGAAAGGATTTTGCCACCCTGGCCAGCCCCTGCTTCATGCTTTTGAAGGTGGTCCTGTTGCCTGGAGCTGAGTTAGCCATCAGGCGATGCTGTTTGACAACTGTAAGAATAAAAGGCAAAATACTGAGGACAGCAGGGAAGAATAGTAACCATCTACCTCCAGAATCCTTGTGAGATAAAAATAGAGCCTCTGCTTGTTTAAATCACTGTTGTTGGCTTTATTACTATGTGTCTGTGAAATTTCTAATTAATGTAAAGAAAATGTAAACACTGACGATTCTTGACTTAATCAGAACTATGAAATAGCAACTTTATATGGGTAGTTTGAGAGATACTGGGGGATGGTGTGGGCACACAAAGTTAGTCTGTCAGAGTCAAAAGCAAATAAAATGTACAAAAGTGATACATCATTTAAAAAAATATAGAGGTAAATGCCAGGGGAAAGATTGAGAGTGACAGCTGAGAGAATCAAAACAGGAGAGGTAGGGGTGATAATAAGAATAGCTAACATTTATTTTGCACTTACCATATTCCAGGCATTGTGCACATTATTTTATACATATTTGTTAATTCGATTTTCACAACAACCCTAAGAGGTGGGGTTATCTCCAGCCTACAGATGAAGAAAGTAGTTATTTCTACTTTAGAGATGAAGAAAATGGAACAAAAATATATCAAATGACTTGATCTCAGTTATCCAATTAATAAATAGAGGGATGGGAGATGTGGGAGAGTGCTATTGTGCATTGTAAACTTTTCAATGAAATTTCACTTTTAAAATAAGTACGTTTATTAATGTAATGAATATTAAAATTATGTAAAATGTTCCAGCTACTAAAGATTTATTAACTTTTATTTTTTGAAGAAATTAAGTGTTCTTGAATTAATATCCCTGAATTGTTATGTTGCAATATTATGTTCTTGAAATTTAACAGTGAGAACGTTGAATCTGAAGAGATTCAATAATGCTTTAAGTTGACTTGTGATACCAGGTAACATTTCTGGAAGTGGACTTTGTGTTGGCCAGAACTCCTTTTTGTAAACGTTATCCAGAAATGTCAGACACCTTGAAAGAGAAACATAGGTGGGGGTTTTGGCAAATCTTGCGTTTACACACGACTTAGGTAATTGTTTCTATTGAATTGTGCACCACTTATCCAAATAGACTGAATTAATTTTAAATTAAAGTCTGATCAGATAAAACTGGGAACAATGTAAAATAAATTAACTTCATTTTAACTTTTACCCCAGAGAAACTAATGTTATTTCCTAAAAGATCATTTTTTCATAATTTTCTTCAAAAGTAATCAAAAACATTATACACTCATAAACTTTTATTCATCTCACAGAACCTTGGATTTGAATGAGGCCTTAAGGATTGTGTAGTGTAAGTTAGATGAGGTCTACAAATATCTCTACAAACTTCCCCCAAATAAATAAAAAATACCTGTTATATTTAATAATAAAGAAATCAAACCTCTGAGGTCATTTGCAGGCTATCCAATTATGTGTTAGAGACTCTTACTTACATTGGAATTACCTGTGAGAATAAAGAATCTTGATTAATAGAGTTTGAAATGACAAATATTTATTGAACTAATATATAATTATATGAAAAGCAACATGGCTTTGCTCTTTCACATTAGAGTTTATCATAATCAAAGTGGCTTCTTCGTACAGTTAGTTACACACAAAAAACTTCTCTCTTGGGGAGATGGGAAAAGGGCACCAAATACTCTATTTTTGTTTCTGTTATTAGGAGAATAAAATAGGTAATTTAATTCTGCTGTTATGGGAATCTAAATCTCCATAATTTGTTTTGTCTGTGGTGACAAACTTCACCTTCAACCATCTGAAAATTTTGATGAGTAAGCATCCTCTATAACTATCAGTATCTTCCAACTCAGGAGCACTTTTTACCCCTACTTCCTGTGTAATGTACTGCATAATTCATGGTAGGTTTTTAAAAAATATAAAATATTTTTTAAAATGATGAAGCTATCATGTCATGACTTTCATTCTTGATTATGTTCTTTGCTTTCCCTGAATATATGCAATGTGATTATTTACTTTACATTTTGCCAATCCAAGAGAAGGCAAAACAAGGGAGAGGAGACGAATTTTAAAAGTTATACATAGTACAAAAACCATATATTAGACTTCTCAAAAGAGATATTTTTGCACAGGAAAGAGTCGTCCATTTTACATGAACATGGATTTTTAAAAATCATTATGTCTGATGGTTGGAATGAAAATTTAAGAGTAGAAGGAAAGACAACATTCACTATAAAAGAGATTTTTTAGATTCACATTTATTTAACAGTAGAATTATTCTTGTCAAATGTATTCCAATGGCATTTTACTACTGTAAATAATATATATAACTCTTGTTATATGTATTGTATATGACTCTTGTTAAGTGACTCGGTACATACAAATATATGTGCATATGGGGCTTTATTGAACAAGAATTATGTTTATTTTCTTCCAGAAATAGCTCTTATTTGAGGACAGAGATTAAAATGGATAATGCTAAAAATGAGTCAACATGTAAAAAATACATTTCGTTAGAATTTTCACTGGTTCACCTTTAAGTTACCTCGTTCGACTATTTATAACTTTATAAAAGATGAAGTAAGCAAAAATCTTCAGCTACTCTGGTGTGGAGATTTACTTTTCATGCATATGGATCAACAGTTTCGAAAAAAGGAGTCATTCCAAGCTTATTGAAGCAAAACTTTCCTAATTAGAGGTCATTTATGTACTTTATTATACGTGTTCTTCCACAGTTTAGAGACTATTAAATGTAGTCTTCCGGCATATCTATTGAGAAAACTTCCTAAATGTTTGGCTTACAAACACAGTGGATCTTAATCAGTATTTCAGGACATGGGATTTTAATAGTGTGAACATTTAAAATCTCAAAATCTCTTTCTCTAATATTAGGGTCTGAAATACCTCCTTCACAAACTAATATTAAATATTTGAATATATTACATTTATGTGAACATATGAAATATTGAAAAATAAGCATGCTCATCCAAGGTGACATCATCATGAATTGCTATTCTAACCCCCAGGGTCAAGGTGAATGACGGGTTAATGCTTCAAGTCTGTGTCTAAAACCATGCATACATTATCCCTCAAGTTTAGTTCAGGACTCAAAGCATCTTAAATTTACCACGCATGAGAGAATGAGAGGTAGGAAGAAAAAGGAGGGATGAAAGGAGAAAATAAGAAAGGAAGAAAGAAAAGAAAAACAGAAGGAAGTGGGAGGGAGGGAAAGAAGAAAAGAAGGCAGAAAGGCAGGAAAAAGAATCATATGAGCCCAACATGTATCAAAAATTTAGTTTTTACTATATATAATAGAGGTATAGTCAAAAATATAAAATAATATATCTTTTTTTTGTTTTTGTTTTTGTTTTTTGTTTTTGTGATGGAGTCTCGCTCTGTCACCCAGACTGGAGTGCGCTGGCACAGTCTCGGCTCACTGCAACCTCCACCTCCTGGTTTTAAGCAATTCTTCTTTCTCAGCCTCCCAAGTAGCTGGGTCTACAGGTGCATGCCACCATGCCCGGTTAATTTTTGTATTTTTAGTAGAGATGGGGTTTCACCATATTGGTCAGTCTGGTCTCGAACTCCTGACCTCAGGTGATCTACCCACCTTGGCTTCCCAAAGTGTTGGGATTACAGGCGTGAGCCACCACCCCTGGCCCATTGTCTTTTTTTTTTTTTTTTTTTTAAGTGAAGTAAACCTAAAGAATCTTAGTATGTTTTATTTTTATATATAACCTGTTTAACAATGTTTAAGCCATTCCATTGTGACTGTGGCTTGAATAGCTCATGTTGAATAGCTCATCTGTTTTCCCTGGCTTTAAAATAATGCTATGCAGTTATCTACTTGGCATTTTACTAACCCAATAGAGTACAGTTATTATGCAACCAAATATACAAAAATATAACAAAAAAATGAAGTACTGGTAAGCTAAAATAGCAGTAGAGTTCATTCCCTATCACCTTCTTTCTCTCTGTATCCCTTTTTTTATTTACTGTCTTCCTAACATAGTAAGGCAATAGGAAGTAATGGTACATGTGTGTAAAATGGTGTGTGTTGTCAGTAGTTTTTCCTAATTTTATTTCTATAGTAACTATGTGTGATAGGAATTTTATAGATAGAGAAACAATGGTTCATATAAGGTCCTTAAGCAATGAGAGTAGATAGATGATCAGTATGCAAAAGTGAATCGTTTTTCTATGTGCCATCACAAACAATTAGAAGACAGAAAGATGTATATGTGTATATGCATCTTTTAAATATATCATTTACAATTAAAATCATAATGGACCTAAAAGTAGATCTTGCAAAAATGTTCAAGCCCTGTACATGAAAATTTTAAAAACTTTGCTGAGACATATTAAACACAATTTTAGTAAATGGAGACACTTATTTTCTGAGGATGTCTGTTCTCCCTAAATTGATTTATAGACTCAAGACTTCTCCAGTACAAATCTGCCAGGAGTTTTCCCTAAAACTTTACAAACTGATTCTAAAGTTTTTGTGGAAGTTTAATGGTCCTAAAAGGTAAGGCATATCTGAGCAAGAGGATGGATAATGATGGGAAACTTGTCTTATTTAGAGACCAAGATTTTAAAAATGATTATAATGAATAACATGTGCTGTGAGTACAGGGGTTTTTAAATTGACCAACAGAATAACAAAGTCCAAAGGTGGTGATATAAAATTTTGAATAGAAATATCAACTGGCATTTTTCCTAAGAGATAGCATGTATATTTAATAAGTAAACATTTGACGAAAAAGTCATTAGTCATCAGAAACATGTAGAATGACCTACTATGTTGTATTCATTCAATTAGTAGAAAGTAAAACTAGGGAAAATATACAGTGTTTGAGAGGTTATGGATCAATGAAATTTATTATTGATTACTGGCAACAATTTATATTGGCATAGCCATGTTGAAAGCTAGTTTTACGTTAGCTTATAAATTTGAACATTTACACACCCAGCGATTCCATCTTTAGTTATATATCTATTAAAAATGTTATACCTTGCACCAGGAGACATATTTTATGAATAATACCTCAAAAGCATAGACAACAACAAAAGCAGAACAACCCCAAAAGAAAATGGGATTATATCAAACTAAAAAGCTTCTGTGCAGCAAAGAAAACATTCAACAGAGTAAAGATACAGTCCCTTGAATGGGAGAAAATACTTGCAAACTATTCATTTGAAAGGGGATTAATATTCTGAATATACAAGGAACTCATAACACCTCAACAGCAAAAAACAATCTGATAAAAAAATGAGCAAATGATCTGGACAGACATCTCTCAAAAGAAGACATGCAAATGACAATACATAAATTAATTAATAAAGCTCAACATCACTAACCATCAGGGAAATGCAAATCAAAACCACAATGAGGTATCATCTCACCCCAGTTAGGATGGCTATTATAAAAAAGACCAGGCCAGGCAGAGTGGCTCATGCCTGTAATCCCAGCAGTTTGGGAGGCCAAGGTGGGTGGATCACCTGAGGTCAGGAGTTCGAGACCAGCCTGACCAACATGGTGAAACCCCTTCTCTACTAAAAATACAAAACATTAGCCAGTCATGGTGGCGGGCGCCTGTAATCCCAGCTACTCAGGAGGCTGAGGCAGGAGAATCATTTGAACTAGGGAGGCGGAGGTTTCAGTGAGCTGAGATCACACCACTGCACTCCAGCCTGGTCAACAGAGCGAGACTCCGTCTCAAAAACAAACAAACAAAAAAAACCAAACCAAAAAAATAATTCATATGCCGGTGAGGATGTGGAGAAAAGAGAACTCTTATATGCTGTTGGTAGGAATGTAAACTATAGAGAATAGTATGGAGGTTCTTCAAAAAACTGCAAATAGAACTAACATGTGATCCAGCAGTTCCACTACTGGGCATTTATCCAAAGGAAAGGAAATCAGTATATTGAACAGACATCTGTACCCCGTGTTTATTGCACCACTGCTCATAATACCAAGATATGGAATCAACCAAGGTGTCTGCCATAGTTTAGATATTTATTCCCCCAAACCTCATGTTGAAATTTGATCCTCAATATTGGAGATAGAGCCTAATGGGAGGTATTTGGGTCATGGGTGTGGATTCCTCATAAATTACTTTGGTGCCATCCTCATGGTAATGAGTGAGTTCTCAAGTTCTCACTCTAGTAGGTCCTGCAAGAGCTGGTTGTTAAAAAGAGCCTGGTGCCTTCCGCCTCCCTGTCTTCCTTCTTCTCTTGCCATGTGATCTCTGCATATGCAAGGTATCCTTCCCCTTCTGCCATGAGTGGCAGCAGCCTGAAGCCCTCACCAGTAGCAGTTGCTGGCAGCATGCTTCTTGTATAGCCAGCAGAATCATGAACCAAATAAGCCTCTTTTCTTAATAAATTACCTGAATTCAAGTATTCCTTTATAGCAACACAAATGGACTATGATACTGTCCAACAGAAGATGAATAGATAATACAGATGTGGTATATATGAACAATGGAGTACTATTCAGTCATAAAAATGAATGAAATCCTGCCATAGCAAAATGGATGGAACTGGAGAGTGTTATGTTAAGTGAAATAAGCCAAGAACAGAAAGTTAAGCACCACATGTTGTAAGTCATATGTGGAAGCTAAAAAGATTTGATCTCATAAAAGTAAAAGGTAGAACAGAGGACACTAGAGGCTGGGAAGGGTATGAGGAGGAAGGGTACACTAGGAAGGAAGAGATTTGTTAAAGGATATAAAATTACAGCTAAATAGGAGGAATAAGTTATAGTGTTCTATACCACTGTAGGATGACTATAGTTAATAGTGATATATAGTTTCAAATAGCTGGAAGGAGGATATTGAATGTATTCAACACAAAGACATGATAAATATTTGAGATGATAGGTATGCTAATTATACTGATCTGATCTATATATATAGTATACACATCAAAACATCACTATGTACCTCATAAATATATGCCATTATTATATGTCAATTTAAAAGTAAAATAAATACATGAAAAAAGAAGGCAATTTATAGCAGCAATGTTTGTAATTATAAAAAATCCAGAGATGGCCTAATTAACTTTAAACAAATCGTAGTATGTTCACAAAATAGATGGCCATGAAAATGAATGAACTACACTACTGATACGGTTTGGATCTTTGTCCTCAACCAAATCTCATGTTGAATTGTAATCCCCAGTGCTGGAGGTGGGGCCTGGTGGGAGGTGTTTGGATCATGGGGGTGGATCCTTCATGTCTTGGTGCTGTTGTTGTGATAGTGAATTATTGCAAGAGCTGTTCTTTTTTTTTTATACTTTAAGTTCTAGGGTACATATGCACAACGTGCAGGTTTGTTACATATGTATACATGTGCCATATTGGTGTGCTGCACCCATTAACTCGTCATTTACATTACGTATCTCTCCTAATGCTATCCCCCCACAACCCCACCCCATGACAGGCCCCGGTGTGTGATGTCCCCCTTCCTGTGTCCAAGTGTTCTTGTTGTTCAGTTCCTATCTTATGAGTGAGAACATGCAGTGTTTGGTTTTTTGTCCTTGCGATAGTTTGCTGAGAATGATGGTTTCCAGCTTCATCCATGTCCCTACAAAGGACATGAACTCATCCTTTTTTATGGCTGCATAGTATTCCATGGTATATATGTGCCATATTTTCTTAATCCAGTCTATCATTGATGGACATTTGGGTTGGTTCCAAGTCTTTGCTATTGTGAATAGTGCCACAATAAACATACGTGTGCATGTGTCTTTATAGCAGCATGATTTATAATCCTTTGGGTATATATCCAGTAATGGGATGGCTGGGTCGAATGGTATTTCTAGTTCTAGATCCCTGAGGAATCGCCACACCGACTTCCACAATGGTTGAACTAGTTTACAGTCCCACCAACAGTGTAAAAGTGTTCCTGTTTCTCCACATCCTCTCCAGCACCTGATGTTTCCTGACTTTTTAATGATTGCCATTCTAACTGGTGTGAGATGGTATCTCATTGTGGTTTTGATTTGCATTTCTCTGATGGCCAGTGATGATGAGCATTTCTTCATGTGTCTGTTGGCTGCATAAATGTCTTCTTTTGAGAAGTGTCTGTTCATATACTTTGCCCACTTTTTGATGGGGTTGTTTGTTTTTTTCTTGTAAGTTTGTTTGAGTTCTTTATAGATTCTGGATATTAGCCCTTTGTCAGATGAGTAGATTGCAAAAATTTTCTCCCATTCTGTAGGTTGCCTGTTCACTCTGATGGTAGTTTCTTTTGCTATGCAGAAGCTCTTTAGTTTAATTAGATCCCATTTGTCAATTCTGGCTTTTGTTGCCATTGCTTTTGGTGTTTTAGACATGAAGTCCTTGCCCATGCCTATGTCCTGAGTGGTATTGCCTAGGTTTTCTTCTACGGTTTTTATGGTTTTAGGTCTAACATTTAAGTCTTTAATCCATCTTGAATTAATTTTTGTATAAGGTGTAAGGAAGGGATCCAGTTTCAGCTTTCTACATATGGCTAGCCAGTTTTCCCAGCACCATTTATTAAATAGGGAATCCTTTCCCCATTTCTTGTTTTTGTCAGGTTTGCCAAAGATCAGATGGTTGGAGATGTGTGGTATTATTTCTGAGGGCTCTGTTCTGTTCCATTGGTCTATATCTCTGTTTTGGTACCAGTATCATGCTGTTTTGGTTACTGTAGCTTTGTAGTATAGTTTGAAGTCAGGTAGCGTGATGCCTCCAGCTTTGTTCTTTTGGCTTAGGATTGACTTGGCAGTGCAGGCTCTTTTTTGGTTCCATATGAACTTTAAAGTAGTTTTTTCCAATTCTGTGAAGAAAGTCATTGGTAGCTTGATGGAGATGACATTGAATCTATAAATTACCTTGGGCAGTATGGCCATTTTCATGATATTGATTCTTCCTATCCGTGAGCATGGAATGTTTTTCCATTTGTTCGTGTCCTCTTTTATTTCATTGAGCAGTGGTTTGTAGTTCTCCTTGAAGAGGTCCTTCACATCCCTTGTAAGTTGGATTCCTAGGTATTTTATTCTCTTTGAGGCAATTGTGAATAGGAGTTCACTCATGATTTGGCTCTCTGTTATTGGTGTATAACAATGCTTGTGATTTTTGCACATTGATTTTTGTATGCTGAGAGTTTGCTGAAGTTGCTTATCAGATTAAGGAGATTTTGGGCTGAGACAATGGGGTTTTCTAAATATACAATCATGTCATCTGCAAACAGGGACAGTTTGAGTTCCTGTTTTCCTAATTGAATACCCTTTATTTCTTTATCCTGCCTGATTGCCCTGGCCAGAACTTCCAACACTATGTTGAATAGGAGTGGTAAGAGAGGGCATCCCTGTCTTATGCCAGTTTTCAAAGGGAATGCTTCCAGTTTTTGACCATTCAGTATGATATTGGCTGTGGGTTTGTCATAAACAGCTCTTATTATTTTGAGATACGTCCCATCAATACCTAATTTATAGAGAGTTTTTAGCATGAAGGGCTGTTGAATTTTGTCAAAGGCCTTTTCTGCATCCATTGAGATAATCATGTGGTTTTTGTCTTTGGTTCTGTTTATATGCTGGATTACGTTTGTTGATTTGCATATGTTGAACTAGCCTTGCATCCCAGGGATGGAGCCCACTTGATCATGGTGGATAAGCTTTTTGATGTGCTGCTGGATTCGATTTGCCAGTATTTTATTGAGGATTTTTGCATCGATGTTCATCAGGGATATTGGTCTAAAATTCTGTTTTTTTGTTGTGTCTCTGCCAGGCTTTGGTATCAGGATGATGCTGGCCTCATAAAATGAGTTAGGGAGGATTCCCTCTTTTTCTATTGATTGGAATAGTTTCAGAAGGAATGGTACCAGCTCCTCCTTGTACCTCTGGTAGAATTTGGCTGTGAATCCATCTGGTCCTGGACTTTTTTTTGGTGGGTAGGCTATTAATTATTGCCTCAATTTCAGAGCATGTTATTGGTCTATTCAGGGATTCAGCTTCTTCCTGGTTTAGTCTTGGGAGGGTGTATGTGTCCAGGAATTTATCCATTTCTTCTAGATTTTCTAGTTTATTTGCATAGAGGTGTTTATAGTATTCTCTGATGGTAGTTTGTATTTCTGTGGGATCGGTGGTGATATCCCCTTTATCATTTTTTATTGCATCTATTTGATTCTTCTCTCTTTTCTTCTTTATTAGTCTTGCTAGCGGTCTATCAATTTTGTTGATCTTTTCAAAAAACCAGCTCCTGGATTCATTGATTTTTTGAAGGGTTTTTTTTTTTGTGTCTCTATCTCCTTCAGTTCTGCTCTGATCTTAGTTATTTCTTGCCTTCTGCTAGCTTTTGAATGTGTTTGCTCTTTCTTCTCTAGTTCTTTTAATTGTGATGTTAGGGTGTCAATTTTCGATCTTTCCTGTTTTCTCTTGTGGGCATTCAGTGCTATAAATTTCCCTCTACACACCGCTTTAAATGTGTCCCAGAGATTCTGGTGTGTTGTGTCTTTGTTCTCGTTGGTTTCAAACAATATCTTTATTTTTGCCTTCATTTCGTTTTGTACCCAGTAGTCATTCAGGAGCAGGTTGTTCAGTTTCCACATAGTTGAGTGGTTTTGAGTGAGTTTCTTAATCCTGAGTTCTAGTTTGATTGCAGTGTGGTCTGAGAGACAGTTTGTTGTTATTTCTGTTCTTTTATATTTACTGAGGAGTGCTTTACTTCCAACTATGTGGTCAATTTTGGAATAAGTGTGATATGGTGCTGAGAAGAATGTATATTCTGTTGATTTGGGGTGGAGAGTTCTGTAAATATCTATTAGGTCTGCTTGGTGCAGAGCTGAGTTCAATTCCTGGATATCCTTGTTAACTTTCTGTCTCATGGATCTGTCTAATGTTGACAGTGGGGTGTTAAAGTCTCCCATTATTATTGTGTGGGAGTCTAAGTCTCTTTGTAGGTCTCTAAGGACTTGCTTTATGAATCTGCGTGCTCCTGTATTGGGTGCTCTTGTATTGGGTGAATATATATTTAGCATAGTTAGCTCTTCTTGTTGAATTGATCCCTTTACCATTATGTAATGGCCTTCTTTGTCTCTTTTGATCTTTGTTGGTTTAAAGTCTGTTTTATCAGAGACAAGTATTGCAACCTCTGCCTTTTTTTGTTTTCTATTTGCTTGGTAGATCTTCCTCCATCCCTTTATTTTGAGCCTATGTGTGTCTCTGCACGTGAGATGGGTCTCCTGAATATAGCACACTGATGGGTCTTGACTCTTTATCCAATTTGCCAGTCTGTGTCTTTTAATTAGAGCATTTAGCCCATTTACACTTAAGGTTAATATTATTATGTGTGAATTTGATCCTGTCATTATGATATTAGCTGGTTATTTTGCTCGTTAGTTGATGCAGTTTCTTCCTAGCCTCGATGGTCTTTACAATTTGGCATGTTTTTGCAGTGGCTGGTACCGGTTGTTCCTTTCCATGTTTAGTGCTTCCTTCAGGAGCTCTTTTAGGGCAGGCCTGGTGGTGACAAAATCTCTCAGCATTTGCTTGTCTGTAAGTCATCTTATTTCTCCTTCACTTATGAAGCTTAGTTTGGCTGGATATGAAATTCTGGGTTGAAAATTCTTTTCTTTAAGAATGTTAAATATTGGCCCCCACTCTCTTCTGGCTGGTAGAGTTTCTGCCGAGAGATCCACTGTTAGTCTGATGGGCTTCCCTTTGTGGGTAACCCGACCTTTCTCTCTGGCTGCCCTTAACCTTTTTTCCTTCATTTCAACTTTTGTGAGTCTGAAAATTATGTGTCTTGGAGTTGCTGTTCTCGAGGAATATCTCTGTGGTGTTCTCTGTATTTCCTGAATTTGACTGTCGGCCTGCCTTGCTAGGTTGGGGAAATTCTCCTGGATAATATCCTGCAGAGTGTTTTCCAACTTGGTTCCATTCTCCCGGTCACTTTCAGGTACACCAATCAGACGTAGATTTGGTTTTTTCACATAGTCCCATACTTCTTGGAGGCTTTGTTCATTTCTTTTTACTCTTTTTTCTCTAAACTCCTCTTCTCGCTTCATTTCATTCATTTGATCTTCAATTACTGATACCCTTTCTTCCAGTTGATCGAATTGGCTACTGAAGCTTGTGCATTCATCATGCAGTTCTTGTGCCATAGTTTTCAGCTCCATCAGGTCATTTAAGGACTTCTCTACACTGGTTATTCTAGTTAGCCATTCGTCTAATCTATTTTCAAGGTTTTTAGCTTCTTTGCGATGGGTTCGAACTTCCTCCTTTTGCTCGGAGTAGTTTGATCATCTGAAGCCTTCTTATCTCAACTCGTCAAAGTCATTCTCCATCCAGCTTTGTTCCATTGCTGGTGAGGAGCTGCGTTCGTTTGGAGGGGGGAGAGGTGCTCTGATTTTTAGAATTTTCAGCTTTTCTGCTCTGTTTTTTCCCCATCTTTGTGGTTTTATCTGGCTTTGGTCTTTGATGATGGTGACGTACAGGTGGCGTTTTGGTGTGGATGCCCTTTCTATTTGTTAGTTTTCCTTCTAACAGTCAGGACCCTCAGCTGCAGGTCTGTTGGAGTTTGCTGGAGGTCTACTCCAGACCCTTTTTGCCTTAGTATCAGCAGCAGAGGTTGCAGAACAGCGAATATTGCTGAACAGCAAATGTTGCTGCCTGATCGTTCCTCTGGAAGCTTTGTCTCAGAGGGGTACCCGGCCGTGTGGGGTGTCAGTCTGCCCCTACTGGGGGGTGCCTCCTAGTTAGGCTACTTGGGGGTCAGGGACCCACTTGTGGAGGCAGTCTATCCATTCTCAGATCTCAAACTCTGTGCTGGGAGAACCACTACTCTCTTCAAAGCTGTCAGACAGGGACATTTAAGTTTGCAGAGGTTTCTGCTGCCTTTTGTTCGGCTATGCCCTGCCCCCAGAGGTGGAGTCTACAGAGGCAGGCTGGCATCCTTGAGTTGCGGTAGTCTCCACCCAGTTTGAGCTTCCCAGCCGCTTTGTTTACCTACTGAAGCCTCAGCAATGGCAGGCACCCCTCCCCCAGCCTCGCTGCCGCCTTGCAGTTTGATCTCAGACTGCTGTGCTAGCAATGAGCCAGGCTCCGTGGGCATGGGACCCTCTGAGCCAGGCGCAGGATATAATCTCCTGGTGTGCCTTTTGCTGAGACCATTGGAAAAGCACAGTATTAGGGTGGAAGCGACCCAATTTTCCAGTTGCCATCTGTCACAGCTTCCCTTGGCTAGGAAAGGGAATTCCCTGAACCCTTGTGCTTCCCAGGTGAGGTGATGCCTCACCCTGCTTTGGCTCTTGCTCGGTGGGCTGTACCCACTGTCCTGTACCTACTGTCCTGCACCCACTGACTGACAAGCCCCAGTGAGATAAACCTGGTACCTCAGTTGGAAATGCAGAAATCACCCATCTTCTGCGTTGCTCACGCTGGGAATTGTAAACTGGAGCTGTTCCTATTCTGCCATCTTGGAACCCCCCCTTGAGCTGTTCATTTAAAAGTGTGGCACCTCCCCACCACCCAGCTCTCTCTCTCTCTCGTTCCAGCTTTTGCCACATGTAGCACCTGCTCTCTCTTTGCCTTCTGCCATGATTGTAAGCTTTCTGAGGATTCCCCAGAAGCAGAAGCTGCTATGCTTCCTGTACAGCCTTCAGAACCATGAGCCAATTAAGCCTCTTTTCTTTATAAATTACACAGGCTCAGGTATTTCTTTATAGTAGTTCAAGAATAGCCTAATACAACTACCAAGGGCAACAGAACAACATAGATTATTCTTAGTAATATCTTGTGGAGTGAAAAAGAAAGCCAGACTTTATTCAATATGGCTTATTATATAACTTTGAAAATAAGCAAAAAAAAAAAAAGTATGTGGGTATTCCTTGTATTCACTATCTTATACTCATTACTTTTTTCAAAATTATGAAATAGACTGAAAATAAAAATAAAGAGAGTCATATGTAAACTCTTGGTGATAGAGAATTGTGAACCAAAGATAATGACTAATATCATTTTATGTGTCGGATAAGAAAAAAGAAATTAAAGATCAGAAAGTCAGTTTCTGTGTCTAACATCATATAAATACAAAGGCATAAAGCCTGAAGTTAGTCAGTGAGGTTTAAGTCCAATATCCCTTCATCATATCATTGTACCACAAAGAACAGCAGAATAGAACAGAGTAGCTCCTTAAGATCACTCTGCACACAGGTTCTAAAATTACAGAAGTTGTTTATTCCTGACAAAATTACAGGTGTTTATTCCTTAGTAACATGGTTCTCTAAGACCCTTATGTCTAATTTATAAAATATTATGTCTCCTCATAGTTTTATAGCATTCTGCTTGAAAATAATGAAATAAGAAAACAGATAGACCAAAATGCAGAGAAAAGAACTGACACTTTACATATTTAGAATAAACTGAAAGCAAATTTTGTAGTGCATTCTACCATTCACTTTGACTCAAGCATCTTTTCAACCTTTTTCATAATATTTTTACTTTATCAGAGATGAAAGGAGCATTCGAGATCATCTATTCAAATCTTATTTTACAGATAAAGTTCCCAAGGTGACAGTGTTCAAAGCCAAGCCAAGACTCAAGGTCAGTTCTCCTGGTATCTAAATCCCATGGTGGTTTCTAGCCCTGACCCAGTGACCCAAGGGATTTTCATCATTCCACACAGAATAATGCTTTTAGAAGCAATTTGAGAAAGAGAAAGTGAATGGCACATATTCTACTGTATTCCTCACAGGGGAGATAGCTCTACCACAATTTGCTATGCTTCTACAAAGTGTAATCTCAGTGGAATTTAGCAGCTACCCCACGGAGCCAATCCCCCTAATGCTTCAGGTAGACTTTCATAAAGTTAAGCAGGGAAGGGAAGTAAATTAGCAACCACTTAAAGTATAAAGGGATGTAATTGGGAATATGCTTAGTTCTTGCCTATTTTTAAGTAGGGAAAGGTTTAAAATGCTTCGTTGATATATTTGAAAAGAGATATCGCTTTTTAGGAAACCCAAGTTAAATCTAACTCCAACTTGTAAAAAATGTCTTATTTTTATTAATAAAGAGTAAGCCCTTTGAACGCTATCCAATCCAAGAAACATCAGGCTTTCAAATTTATGTTGTAGTCTTGCCTATAAACAAAACAACGTCATTTCCTCTCTTTGCGAATCCCTTCTCCTGCCCAGATAGCAACTTTTCAGACTCCTGCCTAACATTTAAATTGCAGTTAATATTTTACCTTCTCTGATCTCCCAACTCATTATGCTTCTTTCCTGGAATTAGTCCACCACATTATTACCTTATCACAGTACTCATGGCAATAGAACTTGCTTGAGGGTTGCTAATATGCATGTTTACCATGGCTTTGTGGCCCTCAGGAAGGCAGGTACTCTGTCTTATTCACTGTGCAGATGGTTAGCCAATTTGGTCTGAGCCCCATTCTTGCCTCTCAGTGTTCTGCCGTGTGTTGTGGGAGTCTATGAACCTGTGAATTACATTCCCTTGAGTCCCGTAACTTGTAGCTTCTGCTGGGTTCAGCTAATGCGGATAGAAAGAGGGGAGACACTACTCCTTTCTTGGACTTTTTGGTAAGATCCACATGGGACATTGCCAGGAATGATGGAGGCTGGAGCAACTGTGAAATTGCTGGGAGGGCAGTATTCTGGGTATCTGCTCAGGCAGCTCAGCTCCAACTGTGGATCCCCAGGAGCACTGTGCTGTGTGCTCCAGGTAACATTATTGGCTCCTTTGCTTCTCCAATCCAAACATGGTAATGCTTTCCTGCAGTTATTAATCTTTGGATAATCTTGGCTTCTGTTCCCATGGCCCTTTCAATACCCATCTAAGAAAATTCCATATTACCCCCCTTGTATTTGAAATTCATAGAATGGTTCCGTTTATTCATAGTTGAAACTAGGGCAATAGTGCAATGTTGAATACAAAATAAGGAGTTAAAAATAATTTGGATGAGAGAAGGTCCTTCCTAACTAAATATAATCCCAGGTCTGCAATTTTAAGACTCTGTAGTCACAAAATTCTTATAGCAAAACAGCTATTAATAAATTGATTATTTATAAAATCAGGCCCTTCTCAATGGTCATTCTTGCTTACACTAGCATAGATGCCCCTCACTCCTGTGTTAGGTCATTTCTAGGTTAGTTCATTGTTGAGTATAAGATGCTGTCAACATTATCTGTATATAGCAAATTAAATGCAAATTTATTTCAAACCTCAAAAGATAATGATTTGAATATCAAGAGATTAAGAAAAGCCTTTGGAAAAATTGATGAATACCAAACATATTTTTGAGAAATTTACCTTTTGTATTTATGCTGTTAAAGTCAGACAGATGCAAACAGTGTCTTCTGCTGTCATACAAATTTGTCAGAAAAATAATGCAAAGATGAAAAAAAAAAAACTTGGCATGAGATCGATAGTTTAATGGCTACAAATTCTTCCCATTCCAGTATATACCTCTTTTTGCAATGTGACATTGCCACTTTTCTCATACTGAAGTAAAATCTATTTCTCTGTTCTGTTCCATTTGTGCTGGACTTGTGATTTGCTTTGTTGAATAGAATGTGGTGGGAGTGACATGGTGTGACCATTAGAGATAAGGCCTCAAGAGATCTTGTAGCTGACACCTTTAATCCTCTTTGACCACTGCTCAAAGACCTCCATGTCAAGAAGACACTCTAATCATGTGAAGGAGAACTAAAGTGCTACATCCGGTCCCTAACAACATATGAGAGAGGCCATCTTGGATTTTCTAGCCCTACTAATCATCAAAATATCAGAAATAATAAACTATTGTCTTCAGGTACTAAGTTTTGGGGTCGTTTTTATACAGCAAAGTTTGATCGAAATACAATATTTGCTTCAGTTTTAGATTATTTTAATAACTAGCAAAGAGTTGCAACATTTTCGTAATGATTACTTTTGTTTTCTTTTAAAGATGATGCTGTTTGCCTTATAAAATAATTAACAATGAGATATTTTACCCATCCCAAATAATTTTATAACCAATTTTATATTTCCTTTGGACGATATTCTATAAATGAACAAATCTTTGCCATGGTCATAAATCTCACTTTCTGAAAGGCAAGAGGAATGTGCAAGTTTTTATGAGTTTTTTGTGAACCCTAATATAGATTCATATTGGCAAGAAAAATAGCTTATTTAATAAGGAGGCCAATAATCTTGACAATATATAATGTCATGAGTTATTTTCAAGATAATCCATGAGTTTTACAAAATTTTCCTTTATGTATTAAATAAAATTAACAGAATCATTATGTAAAAGTGCAATTTGTTCAAGAATGTGAAGCTTTATGATTTATCTATGCATCCTTTCGGGGAGGCTCCACTTCACTGATTTTCTTGAAAATGAGTCAACTGAAGAGAAGATACCTATAAAACTATATACTCAAGATCTAAAGTCCTTGAAAAATTGCTAAATTATAACTATATATAACAATACAGATATACATATTCTGTATCTATCTATCTATAACACATATATCATAAATAATGTCTCACACATGTGTCATAAATAATGTCTCATGACTTATAAGAAACAAGAAGTTAAGAAAAAGCACAATCGCATGAAATAGAATAAGTAATAATCTTAATCTGATAGAGGATCTATATTCAATGGTACTTAAATGAAGTTCTTCTGCAGGAAAATTTCAACTTTCTTAATTTAACCTAGACATTCAATGGCATAAATAATTTTGCAAGGACTTTGTAGTTGAAAAAGGTTCACATCAAATACTAGGTCTTATTCATTCTTTTGAACTATTTTTTGTACATTCTTTCAAACTATTCTTTGACTATACCCACCTCCTCCCCACCCTCCCAGTACCCTTTGTGGGTAGCTTTTTAATAAAGGGATCATGAATATAATGGATTTCAATAATATAATTTTTTAGTGTAAAAATTGATCTGGGGTAACATCATCCAAAAATATAGCAATATACTACAGAAATTTGGAAGGACCAAATAAAATATTCTACCACGCTGCTCTCTGGCAAATATCATACCTATGATATATGTTTTAAAAATCTAAGGCTGAGTATATTAAACCTTTGGTTTGGGATAAATGCTTAGTGACATCAAATACATTTATAATGATAATTATGTATGATTATGTATGTAATGTATTTGAAAGTTTTAAAAAAGTTTCTTGAGTTTATTTTTATATTAATAATAATTACACTCATTTATTACACCCTCACTGTGTTACAGAAATTGGGTGAGACACTTAGTATTAATTATTCTCACATAATATTCACAACCAACCTGGAAGGGAAGTGCAAATACCAAGGTTTAGAAAGATTTGATGATTTACTGTAGTAGGTGAGAGGAGTTGAAATTCAAAGCTTTTGCTCTCAGTCTCATTCTTTTCACAATTTTATTCACCTAGGCCACTTGCTCAGTAAATCTTCACTGTAATCATTTTTGTTCCACATTTAGGCCTTGTTTTGCTAGAAATTTTTTTCCTTTTATTTTTCATATCCATGCCACATTATTTGAAATTTTGACCACAGTGTGCACACTATTTTTTTCATTTATTTATTTTTACTTTAAATGGACAAATGAAAGTTGTATATACTTATGTACAACATGATGTTCTAAAATTTGTATATGTTTTTGGAATAGCTAAATCAAGCTAATTAACAGATGCCTTACCCCACATATGTACCATGTTTTTTTGGTGAGAACATTTAGAACCTACTCTCTGAGCATCTTTTAAGAAAAAAAAAAACATTTTTTTTTAACTATAGTCACCATGTTGTATAATTGATCTCTTGAACTTATTTCTCCTGTCTAACTACAATTGTGTGTCCTTTGAACAACATGTCCTCAACCCTCCTTTCTCCAGCCTCTGGTAACCAGCCTCTGGTAACTGTCTGCTTTTGAGTTCAACTTTTTTAGTCTGTAAATAGGTGAGATCATGTAGTATTTGCCTTTTTGTGTTTGACTTATTTCACTTAACATAATGTCCTTCAGATTTATTCAGGTTGTCACAAATGATAGCATTTCCTTCTTCTTTTTTTTTTTTTTTTTTGGAGTCTTGTTCTGTTGCCTGGGCTGGAGTGTAGTGGTGTGATCTCAGTTCACTGCAACCTCTGCCTCCCAGGTTCAAGCAATTTTCTGCCTCAGCCTCCCAGGTAGCTGGGATTACAGGCACCCACCACCATGCCCAGCTAATTTTTGTATTTTTAGTAGAGACAGGGTTTCACCATCTTGGCCAGGCTGGTCTCGAGCTCCTGACCTTGTGACCTACCTGCCTCAGCCTCCTGAAGTGCTGGAATTACAGACATGAGCCACTATTTCCTTCTTTTAAAAGGCTAAATAGTATTCTATTGTGTATATCGATCACATTTTAAAAATCCATTCATTTGTTGATGGTCACTTTGGTGACTGAGCACTTTGATTCCATATCTTGGCTACTGTGAATTATGCTGCAATGAATATGGAAGCATGCACACTAATTTGTTTCAGAGGACTATTGAATGTATACTCTTAGTAAGGTACCCTGCATGTAATCTTTCACTTTTATTTACCACCATGATGTATCAACATACACCAGGAAAATGTTATCTGTGAGCAATCTAGGTGGTTTATTTCACTGAGTTCAATATTTATCCACAAAGAGCAAAGCACATTTTTTCTCTTTTGAGACTGTACGACCTAAAAATTTAATGTACATGATTTCAGTAAGATTGGAAGGAAACTTGCTGTTAAATGTTTTTCAAGGAGAAATTAGTTACTGAAACATTGGCAATTTGTAATAATGTTACCCAGCTTTAAAGGCATCTAGTGTACCACTTTCTGCTTTGATGAAAATGTTCTGTATCTGCTTTATTTAATATGGTAGCTGCTGGCCACATGTATTATTATTAAACCCTTGAAATATGGCCAGTGTGAGTGAACAATTGGCTCTAGTTCTAATATGGCTAGTATCTACCATATTTAAAAGTAGGCCAAGATGAAAAGATTTCATGCATGTATCTACCTTATAGGGCTTACTCCCCAGTCTCTAACTGGGAAGTGCTCAGATAGTACACATAAAGTGAGCTAGCCTCTTCAAAAGATAAGTGAACTCTGTAAGTGCTTTCTTCCTTTTCGTGCTACTGTAAATATGGCACCACTGCCATGTTTGCAAAAGTAACAACCAATTTTACTTGTAGGAGGTTAATCTCAGCTATCCTCACTCTTCTATAACAGTAGTTTTCTACCTGAGAGTTGGAGAATTGCTCCCTTAAGGCACATCAGTTGACAGGCATGAAACTTGCTGTGTGTTGTGGATCTGAAGATCTAGGTGGTAGGTGGATTTGATTTCCCTGGACCTGCCTGAGGCCAAAATTGTTTCTGCTTCATTGTTCTGAGAAATGGAAACATTCCATGAGGCAGTCTAAAGTTCTAAAACATAAATGCTGGTAGATATATAAAATTTTCAAAGTCCTCATCTATTGAATTCTTTGTTTTGTATAGTAACTGTGTTCCCTTAAGCTTAAATCACTTCACTATAAAGACATCACAAATCTAAGCATGATATTTTCTAACACTATTCATTCCTGCTGGGATAAGCTTTTTCTATCAGGGAGGTGAAATTCTGAATGCTGTAGTCACCGGGTTTCATGGAGACAAAACTGTACAGGAGGCAAACCCATCTTTGACACCTTAATTATCCTTTTCTTCATAGTCCCATTCCCCTCACCATACTCTACCCATTCTGCTTTTTTAAATGTTCTCTTCTGTTCAACTTTCTTGCATCAGATAATCTTTGCCCTCCCATGAATCATGACTGGTTCCTGGAAAAATGGCTGAAAATCTTGAGGTTCAAATATGGGTGATCTAATCTCCCCTTTTCAGTATTTTTGAATTTTAAGCATATTGTTATCTCTGTTTAAGGGGTTAAGTGTTTTGTCTTATGCTAAATGTATTTAAAACCTTTTGGTGAAATCAATGATTTATTTTCTCATTCCTGAAATCTTACTCCAATTTTATGTATGCATTCTTTTTATGTGTTAAGTTAAACCTTGATTTAGTGTCACACTTATTTTTCTATACCAAAGAAGACACCTAAATCAAGAATAATCATATAGAGAAACATAGTTGACAGTGAATTTTGGTGTTATGATGCCTCATGATATTAAATTAGAGATGAGAACATTCATGTAGTACTTATTTTACAGAAATATTAAAGCAATTTTTTTCTAAAAAGAAAAATTATTTTCTAATTATTTTAGAAAAAAAATTTAAACTCTATGTTCTCCTCTTTCAACTTCCCAGAGATGGTTAACCAACTTTTGTTGGAGGGAAATAATTTAGATAGAATGCTCTTCATGTCACACCTTTTTATCCCATGGAAAACAGAAGCATATAAAACCATCATTTAAAAAAATACTTCCACCCAATATAGAAGAACAGGGATCAGATTTATTCTTTTAATTGAAATAACCAATATAAAGAGACAAAAATGTATAAAATAATGACTTTTAAGATATTACGTTTCAAGGGACAAAGTACAATCATCTCTGAAAGATGAGGAACAACGTGATCTCTCTAATTGCCTTAGCTTGCTGCCTGTAGAAAGTTTCCAGTCCATGGTATAGGGAGGGGAAACCTAGATTGAGTCTGATGGGTTCTCTGAGTTGAGGAGATGGATCTGTGAGTTTGGAACATGAAGGCTGCTGTAATTCACAGGAGAGTCCAAGAGAGAAGCGAATTGCATAGAGAGAGAAACTTATTCATCTGTGGAAGTTTCCTCTTGAGTACTCAGCCAAATACTAATCAGCACATGTGTGTAAAGAAACTATCTGAGACCAGGAACAAACATTAAGAACTATTAGAGGGATGATTGCATCACTGCACTCTAGCCTGAGTGATAGAGCAAGACACTGTTTCTAAAACAAATGAACAAACAAACAAACAATTAGAAGGAAGAGGTTTTATTACTCTCATAGGGCTGAGAATAGTGCTTATTTCTATTAGCCAGACAAGAAAAACTCGTAATTCTTAGGGCATTGGATAGAATATTCAGGAAAGTCTTGTCTCAGTGGCTCTAGGTTAAGAACTACTTCACACTCACCTGAAAAAATTATAAAAGCAAGACTTAAATGAATCAAATTATTGTTAAGTAACTTAACTGCAGCCTAGAACAAAACTCAAGAATGTTTGTAGGGATACAAAAATCTAGCAACCAATAATGTAAATTTTACACAACATCTGGCATCTAATTATAGATTGCCAGGCATGCAAAAAAGCAAGAAATACCACCTATAATGAGGAAAATAATCCATAATAATCTAATATTACTATTATAATCTAACAAAGATGTAGAATGAGCAGATAAAGATGTTAAGTGACTTAATTATTTTTTATATGCTCAAAGGGTTAAGTAGTACCATGGAAGAAATGAAAAGGATGTGAGTTGAAGTTTTACAACTAAAAGATACAATACCTGATATAAAAAATTCTGAAAGTAATAGCATATTAAATATGGCAGACTAAGAGATTACTGAACTTGTGTGTAATATATATACATATTTTTATATTATACATATATACACACATATATACATATATGTGTATAATTTGTTTGGGTAAGCAAAAATTCCAAAGTTTCTTTAACAATGTTAAAGAAAAGGAAGTAAAGCTGCCATTCAACATAAGAAACATAAATATCTTTTATTATTACTACATTTTTGAAGAGGACATCCAGTGTTGGCTATAATTTTTTATCTTAATTTACTAAGTAAATCTTTATAATGGAAGGGTTGTGTCAGGTGAGATGTTAGTAGAAAAAGTGTGCTGCTAGAGTTTTGGGTGTTTGTAAAATTGCAAAGCTTAGTATATGTGTTATTATCAAAGTCATCACTTACACTATCTGTAATATACAGATTAAAAGAGAAAACAAAATAGTAGTGCTTAGGGAAATATAAAAATTGCTAATAAAATGCATTTATGCTATTGAAAGTCAAGTCTCTTAACTAAATGTGCAACATAAAATAAAGTAAATGTCATTAATAATATATTAATGCATAAAGGTTCAAACCCAACAATGACTATTTTTGTATATTTACTGGTTATATAGGAAGCATTGTTCATATTATTCAGAATATAGTTGAAACGGGGTTTTGGCAAAATTTTTATTACTTCTACTATATTTTAGTTTAAAAAACATCAATTTTGAGCAATGACATCAGCAAAATGGCAGAATAGGAAGACTCAGATTTTCCTGCTCCCCCAGAGACGTCAGTTTAACAACAGTATATATCCAATTGCCTTTGTGCAAAATCAAAAAACCAGGTAGGAGATTTGTGCACTCCAGGCAAGCACAATGCCGTCTGAATGGAATTCTCTTAGGAAAATTTATGATACTCACTTCTCAGAGCCCTTCTCCTAGTACAGTGCAATGCAATTAGGAGAAAATTTCCAACTTCTCTCTGGGAAGATAAATAGGAGAGGAAAAAATATGTTAGAATAAAAGGTATGTTAACTATCTTGAATTTTTATAGGGCTTCCTGAGGAACTGGTTTCTATCTTTTCTAAGTACTGACAGGAGTAGGGAGCCTGGTTGGGGCTGCTGAGAACAAAGGCAATTAACATGGCTTGGTTTAGTGCCAGTCTGCAGTACCACAGAAAGTCACCAGGGGAGCTCCTGAGTAGGAACTGGCAAACCTCTGTAATTAGATTACACGCAAACCCACGATGACATAGCCTCAGAAAAGTCTTGAGAGGTCTCCAGAATCTATAGCCCATCTGGTTGTTGAAAGTCTTCCCTGCACAAAACTGGATCACAAAGACTGAGAGAGGTGGCTGATTTTCAAATGCTCAAGTCCCAACAGAAGATAAGGAGGCATATAAAGAAACAGTAGAAATAAGGCCCAATCAAAGACCCATACTAATTCTCCAGTAATCACCCCTAAAAAAACAGATATATGGATTACTAGCCAAAGATTTCAAAATAATCTTCAAAAGATGCTCAATGAATTATAAGAGAATAGAAACAATAAAATAAGGAAAACAAGGCATAAACCAAATGAGAATATCAGTACAGAGAGAAACTGTGAAGAACTGAACAGAGATTCTGCAGCTAAAGAACATGACAACTGAGTTGAAAAATTCACTAGAGAGACTCAACAGCAGACTTGAACAGATGAAAAAAGAATCAGTGAACTCAAAAATAGAAAATTCAAAATTACTGAAGCAGAAGTCCAAAAAGAAAAAAAAAATAAAGAAAAGAACAGACTAAGGGACTTAGGAGACACCATCAAGTGAAACAACAAAAGCATTTATTAAATCTGAGAAGGAAAACAAAGAGAGAAAGGGACAGAGAGCTTACTTGAAGAAATATTGACCAAAAACTTCCGAAATCTGAAGTGAGAAATGGACACACAAATTCAAAATCTGAAAGAGCTCTGACTAGGATAACTCGAAAGAGATATCACCAAAACACATCATAATCAAACCATCAAAAGTCACAAAGAGAATTTTGAAGGCAGCAGGAGAAAAGTGACTCACCATATACAAGGGAACTTCTATTAGATTATCAGGAGATTGTCGCAGAAACTTTGCAGGCTAGATTGAAGTGGGATGATATATTCAAAGTGCTGGAAGAAAAACTACCAACTAAGAAACTATATCCAGCAAAACTGCATTTCAGAACTAAAGAATAAATGAAGACTTCCCCAGATAAAAATGGAAGGAGTTAATTACAACTAGAGCTACTTTACAAGAAAAACTAAAGGTAGTCTTTCAAGATGAAGTGAAAGAATAATAAATAGCAACAGGAAACTATATGAAAATGTAAAACTCTCTGGTAAGGGTAAATATATAGAAAAATATAGAATCCTATAGTATTATAATGCAGGTGCATAAATAATTTTTGATGTGTTGTAGGATTAAAAAAACAAAAGCATAAATAGTAATTATAACTTCATATTAATAGACCCACAATATAAAAAGCTAATTTGTGTCACTAATGTAGTGCAGGAGTAACAGAGATGAAAAGGAGTACAGTTTTTATATGTAATTAAGTTATAATCAGTTTAAAATATATTGTTACAATTTTAAAATGTTTTATGTAATTATAATGGTAACCACAAATAAAATGTGTATAGAATATACACGAAGAAAAATGAGAAGCATATCAAAACATGTCATTATAAAAATTAATAAAACACAGAAAGAGGCAGCAAGAGAGAAAAGGAGAGACAAAAAGCTATATTATATACTGAAAACAGTTAACAGGATGGAAATAGTAAATCCTTTCATAACAGTAATTACTTTAAATGTAAATAAATTAAGCCCCCAAATTTGAAGACATAGATTGGGTAAATTGATATAAAACAAGATTCAACCATATGCTGTCTACAAGAAACTCACTTTCAATCTAAGGATGCACATAGGTTAAAAGTGAAAGGATAGAAAATGGTATTCCATGCATAAAAACTTAAAGAGAGCAGGGGTGGCCATAGTTAACTCATGCAAAGTAAACTTTAAGACAAAAACTGTCTCAAGAGACGAAGGAGTACATTATGTAATTATAAAAAACCAAATTCACCAGAAAGATAGAACACTTAGAAATATGCATGTAATTAACATTAGAGCTCCCAAATATATGAATCAAACATTGATAGAAATACAGGGAAAAACAGAAAGCAAGTTAATAGTAGTAGAAGGTTTCAATACTCTACTTTCAGATATGGATAAAACAACCAAATAGAAGCACAATTTAAAAAGAGGGAATGCAAATTAGTACAGCCATTAATTGAAAATGTATGAAGTTTCTTAAAAAGTTAAAAATATAGTTTGTATCTAGCACTATTGGATATATATCTAAAAGAAAAAAAGTAAATTACTGTGTCAAAGTGATATCTGCACTCATATTTATTGCAGCATTATTCAGAATAGTGAGGATATAAAATCAACCTAAGTGCCCATCAACAGATTAGTAGATAAAGAAAATATGGTGTATGTATACACATTAGAATACTGTTCAGCCTTAAAAAAGAAGGCGATCCTGTCATTTCTGACAACATGGATGAAACTGAAGGGCATGGTGTTAAGTGAAATAAGCCAGGCACCAAAAGATAAATACTGCCTGATCTCACTCCTATATGGAATCTAAAAATGTTGATCTCATATAAATAGAGAGTAAAATGGTGCTCATCAGAAGATAGGGAAGCAGTGGGGAAGAGGGTTGGGAAAATGTTGGTCAAAGGTTACAACATTTCAATTAGATAAGAGGAGTAAGTTCAAGATATGTATTACATACGTCATGAGGACTGTAGTTAACAACAGTGTACTATATTCTTGAAAAATGCTAAGAAAGTAGATTTTAAGGGTTCTCACCGCAAAATGACAACTATATGAAGTAATGCATGCTATGGTTTGAATGTGTCCCCCAAAGTTCGTATGTTGGAAACTTACTGTTCAATGCAACAGTGTTGGAAAGTAGCGCCTATTAAGATGTGTTTAGGTCAAGAGGACTCTGCCTTCATGAATGGGTTAATTTTTTTTTATCACAAAAGTGATTAGTTATCATGAGAGTGGGCTTGTTATAAAAGTGAGTTTGGCCCTCTCTTGCTGTCTTAGTCTTCCTGTTTCTGCCATGGGATGATGCAGTAAGTAGGCCCTCACCAGAGTCCACAACCATGCTCTTGGACTTTCTAGCCTCCAGAACAGTGAGCCTAGTTAATTTCTGTTCCTTATAAATTACCCAGTCTCAGGTATTCTGTCACAGCAGCAAAAAATGGGCTAAGATAAGATATATACATGTTAATGAGTTTGATCTAGCCATTTCACAATGTACATATATTTCAAAACACTATGTTGGACATGATAAATTTGTATGTATATAATTTCATCTGTCAAGTAAAAAAAAAAAAAAAAAAAAACCAGAGGACTTGAATAACACTATATACCAATCAGACCTAATAGACATATACAGAACACTCCACCCAATAGCTGTGGAATACATGTTTTTCTCAACTGCACATGGAACATTCTCGAAGGCAGACCACATGTTAGACCACAAAGCAAGTCTTAACAAGTTTAAGGAGACTGAAAAAATGCAAAGTAAGTTTCTGACCACTATGGAATGAAACTAGAAGTCAATAACAGAAAGAAAACAAAATCCACAAGTAAGTAAAAATTAAGTCACTTTTAAATAACCAATGGGTTAAAGAAGAAATCACAAGGGAATTTGGAAAATATCTGGAGACAAATGAAAATGAAAGCACAACATACCAAAACTTGTGGGATACAGTGAAATAAGTACTAAGAAAGTTTACAGTGGCAAACACTCACATTAAAAAAATAGGAAAAATTATATGAAACCACTAAAAGAAAACATTGGGGAAACACTCCAGGACATTGGTCTGGGCAAAGATTTCTTGAGTAATATCCCTTAAGCACCGGCTACCAAAGCCAAAATGGACAAATGGGATCACATCAAGTTAAAAAACTTCTGCATGGCAAAGGAAACAACCAGCAAAGTGAGGAGACAACCCACAGAATAGGAGAAAATATTTGCAAAGTTTCCATCTGATAGGGGATTAATAAAGAGAATATATAAGGAGCTTAAACAACTCTATAGGAAAAATCTAATAATCTAATTAAAAATGGGCAAAATATCTGAATAGACATTTTGCAAAAGAAGACGTACAAATGGCAAACAGATTTATGAAAAGGTGCTCAACATCACTGATTGTCAGAGAAATGCAAATCAAAATTGCAATGAAATATCATTTCACCCCAGTTAACATGGCTTTTATCCAAAAGATAGGTAATAATGAATACTGGCAAGAATATGGAGAAAGGGGAACCCTCATATGCTGTTGGTAGGAATGTAAATTAGTACAGCCATTGTGGATAACAGTATGGAGGTTTCTAAAAAACTGAAAATACAACTACCATATGATCCAGCAATCCCATTGCTAGGTGTATACCCCAAAGAAAGAAAATCAGTATATCAAAGAGATATCTGTTTATTGCAGTACTATTCACAATAGCCAAGATTTGGATTTAATCCAAGTGTCTATTAACAGATGAATAGATAAAACGTGGTACATATACACAATGAAGTATTATTCAGCTATAAAAAGGAACAAGATCCTGTCATTTGCAACAACATAGATGAAACTGGAGGTCACTATGATAAGTGAAATAAGCCAGGCACCCAATGACACTCTTAACATGCCCTCTCTGATTTGTCAGAGCCAAAAATTGAAACAATTGAACACATGGAGATAAAAAAATGGAATGATGATTACCAGAGGCTGGGAAGGGTGGGAGAGGGGTGGGGGCAAGTGGGGATGGTTAATGGGTACAAAAATATAGTTATAAAGAATGAATAAATTCTAGTATTTGATAGCACAACAGAGGGACTATCGTAAAAAATAATTTATTGTACATTTAAAAATAACTAAAATAGTATAATTGGATTTTTTATAACACAAAGAAAGGATAAGTGCTTGAGATGATGGATACCCCATTTACCCTGATGTGATTATTACACATTGTATATCTGTATCAACATATCTCATCTGTGTCATAAATATGTACACCTAAATATACCCATAAAAATTAAAAAATTAAAAAAGGAAAAATCTCAAATAAACAGCTTTACTCCTGAAGGAACTAGAAAAAGAAGAACAAACTAAACCAAAAGTTAGCAGAAGGAAGAAAATTATAAAAATTAGAAAAGAGAAAAATGAAATTGTGTATAAAAGAATGGAAACAAATCAATAAAACCGAGTTTATTTCATCAAAATTAACAAACCTTTACCTAGACTAACAATGAAGAAAGAGAGAAGACTCAAACAACTAAAATGAGAAATGAAAGAAGAGGTATTACAATTAAAGTGAGAAGGGAAATGTTTTATGAGAACTACTTGAACAACTACGTGCCAACAAATTGGAAAACCAAGAAGAAATGGGTAAATTTTTCTAAACATACAACCTTTCAAGATTGAATCATGGAGAAACAAAACATCTGAACAGACCTTTACCTAGTAAGCAGATTGAAGCAGTAAGCAAACACCTCCCAACCTAGAAGAGCCCAGGACCAGATGGCTTCACTGGAGAACTCTACCAGACATTTAAAGAAGAGTTAACAGCAATCTTCCTCAAGCTCTTCCAAAGAATTGAAGAGGAAGAAAACTTCCAAATTCATTTTATGGGGCCAGCATTATCCTGATATCCAAACCAGACAAAGACACACCAGGAAAACTGTGGACTAACATCTCTACAGAATACTGATGCAAAAATCCTCAACAGAATACTAGTAAACTGATTGAATAGCACATTAAAAGATTATACACTATAACCAAGTGGGATTTATGCCTGGAATGAAAGGATGTTTCAAAATATGAAAATCAATTACTGTACTACATCATAGTAACAGAATGAAGGGGAAAAAACACATGATTATCTCAAGTGATGCAGCAAAACTACTTGACAAAATTCAATACCCTCTCATGATAAATATACTTAAAACTAGAAATTGAAGGAAACTATCTCAACATAATAAAATACATATATGAAAAGTTCACAGCTAACATCATAATCAATGGAGAAAGACTGAAAGTTTTTCTTCTGAGATCACGAACACAGCAAAGAGGTCTGCTTTCACTACTACTATGCACCATAGTACTGGAAGTCCTAGCCAGAGCAATTAGACAAGAAAAAGAAATAAAATGCATCCAAAATAAATGATTTTAACAAAGTTGCAGAATATAAAATCAACACACAAAATAAGCAACATTTCTATACATTAACAATAACCAGTTCAAAAAAGAAATTAGAGTGTTACTATAACATCAAAGAAGATAAAACAACTAGCAACAAAATTAATCAAGGAAGTGAAAGAGTTATACACTAAAAAGCCATCAAACGTTGCTAAAAGAAATAAAAGAATACACAAATAAATAGAAAGACATCCAGTGTTTGTGGATTGGAAACTTAATGTTAGAATATCCATACTACCCAAAGTGATCTACAGATTAAATGCAATTCTTATCAAAATGCAAGTGACATTTTTTTTCAGAAATTAAAAAAAACCTTGAAATTCATATGGAATCTTAAGGCACTCTGAATAATCAAAATGATCTTGAAAACAAATAAACTAGATTGGAGGCCTCAATCCTCCTTTCAAAACATATGACGAAGCAGCAATAGTCAAGTTTACTGTGGTACTGGCATAAAAACAGATATATAAAACAATGGAACAGAATGCAGAGCCCAGAAATGAACTCTGGTGTATACTACAGAATTATCTTCCACAAGGATGCCAATCCACACAGTGGAGGAAAGGACAGTCTCTTCAACAAAGGATGTAGGAAAAGTGGATAGTCCTATGCAAAAGAATGAAGTTTGAGCTTTATCTTACCTCACAGACAAAAATTAACTCAAAATGAATAAAGACGTAGACATAAGACCTAAAACTATAAAATCCCCGGAAGAAAGCATAAACGACATTGAATTTGGCAATGATTCATTGGATATGACATCAAAAGCACAGGTAACTAAACAAAAACAGGCAAATGGGACTACATCAAACTTCTGTTCACAAACGGAAACAAAAGGTGAAAAATCAACCTACAAAATAGAAAAAGACATTTGCAAGTAATGTATCTTACAAGGGGTTAATATCTAGACTATGTAAGAAACTTCCACAATTCCACAATACCAAAAACAAATAACCTGATTTAAAGATGAGCAAATAACTTAATAGACAATTCTCCAAAGAAGACATAAGAATGGACAACAAGCATGTGAAAAGAGGCTCAGCATCACTAATCAAGATAAATGCAAATCAAAACCTCAATGAGATATCATCTTATACCCATTGGTGTGGCCACTATCAAAAGAATAGAAAACAAGTTCAAATAAGGATACAGAGAAATTAAAGCCCTGTGCACTGTTGGTAAAAATGTAAAATGATTCAGCTGCTATAAAAAATAGTATAAAGGTTCCTCAAACTTTAAAAATGAATGATTATGTGATCCAGCAATCCCACTTCTGGATATGTATCCAAAATAATTCAAAGCATTATCTTAAAGGAATACTTGCACACTCATGTTCTTTGTAGCATTACTCACTATGGTCAAAAGGTGGAAGAATTCCAAATGTCCACTGAGAGATGAGTGAATAAAGAAAATACAGTGTATACATATAATGGAATACTGTGCAGCCTTAAAAAGAGGGAAACCCGGTCACATCCTACAATATGGATGAACATTGAGGACACCATGCTAAGCGAAATCAGTCAGTCACAAAATGACAAATACCATATAATTCCACTCATATGAAGCATCTGAAGTAGTCAAAATCAGAAACATAAAGTAGAAAGGTGGTTGCCAATGGCTGCAGGAGGGGAGGGAAGAGAGGGATTTAATGTTTAATGGGTATAGAGTTTCAGTTCTAGAGATTTGTTGGATCACAATGTGAATATTCTTATCACTACTGAACTATACTTAAAAATGATTATGATGGTAAATTTAATGTTGTATTTTTTTTAACTACAATAAAAATGAAGGTAAAAGCACAATGTCTAAAAAGTATCCATTTCATTTGGAAGATATAAAGACAAATCAAACAATGTAAAAGAAATGAAATGATTACCCAGATTTGAAATGAAAAGATTCCTATAATAGAAATGTAGGGTAAAATAACTGTTAGATGAATAAATGAAACAAAAACATTGTATGTTAATTTCTTTCTAGTCTTTCAATGTAATATAGTTCCACTCTTGCCTTCTGGCCCTTTTCTAGTCTAAACTATAGTTTAGGATCCTCCATGGACCACTGTGGTGGGATATACAGTTCTCTGGCAAGTTGTAACAAGAAAATAATTCAAAGCCTGATTTTAAGAATTTCAACATTTTGATCTGATTTACATGGCTTTTGCCAGGCAGGGTGTAACCTATAGTATGGACGTGGGAGACCTTAAACACCAG
Source organism: Homo sapiens (assembly GCF_000001405.40). Taxonomy (NCBI): domain Eukaryota; kingdom Metazoa; phylum Chordata; class Mammalia; order Primates; family Hominidae; genus Homo; species Homo sapiens. Next base: position 76,273,963 of record NC_000016.10, read on the forward strand.
GGTCTTTTCTTAATTGGTGGAAAACATAACCAAAATACAGACACAGGGAGAAGTGATTAAAGGAATCTGAATCAGCAGTACAGGTGTGCAAAATTAGATCTCCACACTTTTCTGACTTTTCCTTCGATTTTCTGATGTTAAACACCATCCTGGAGGGAATGGAGAAATGATGCATAAGTTAGTAGGTCTTGGAGATGAACCCTTTTCTGCCACCAGTGGGTCATATCCCACAAGCTGTAATCCCTCTGCTCATCAGATTTCTTTTCTGTGTCGTGTGAGTTGTACTAATATAATGATTACAAAAGGAATATTGATCATGCGCCTCCTAGGCATGCTCATTTCACAGGACATTGTCTTAACCATGAGGTTGATACCGTACTCATCGTTGGTGCACAGATGAGGAAATTAAGGATCAAGGATTATTATCCTGATGCAGCTTGCCCAAGGCCGTGCAGCTAGTGGGTGGTGGAACCTGTACAGACACTGAACCTGGGTGGCCAAGCTCTGACATTGCCTGCTTAGACCAATTCTCTGTACAGTTTTAATGCAGAGATCTAAAGCTGGGAAGTAAGTGAGGGCCCACTAAGCACAAGGCATTCAATAGTTGTCATATGTTATACCACAGTAACTCTTTGGTCATGATTCTCCTATCGGGTCATAAAATAAATAAACGAAAGGTCAGCATCATTGAGTCATTTAATCAAAACAACAGTGGAAGCTTGTATCAAGGCCGCTCTGGTTTTTTTGTTTTGTTTTGTTTTGTTTTTTTTTTTTTTTGAGTCAGAGTCTTGTTCTGTCGCCCAGGCTGGAGTGCAGTGGCTCGATCTCAGCTCACTGCAAGCTCCGCCTCCTGGGTTCATGCCATTCTCCTGCCTCAGCCTCCCACGTAGCTGGGACTACAGGCGCCTGCCGCCATGCCTGGCTAATTTTTTGTATTTTTAGTAGAGACGGGGTTTCACCATGTTAGCCAGGATGGTCTCGATCTCCTGACCTCGTGATCTGCCCGCTTCGGCCTCCAAAAGGGCTGGGATAACAGGCGTGGGCCACCGCGCCCGGCTGAGGCCTCTCTGTTTACCATATCTCAAGCACTCACTGTTTCATTTGTCTAGGCAACTCTCTACCCCTCTGCAGCCATCAGGCAGAGACAGGTTTTGCAGTGACTTGAAATGCTCAGGTCTTCTATTGAGGGCCAGCCCCCAATTCCTTCTATTACTGTAGCCCATTGATATGGAAAAATCCGCCAGTATTGGTCACTATAATAATTTATACATTGTCCCAAAGAAGTTATTATTGTTATAAAATGTTTATTTTTCATTTTTGCTATGTGTACTTATCCATTTAAGATGCATTCTCTAATTTGTTTTAAGAGAACAATTAAATACAATATTGTAACAACGAGACAACTTTTTTCTTCTGGAGAGCCCACAACCGTCCCACAGACATGATATTTTCTTCAAAGGACTGATATAATTATTCAATTAGATAACAAATGGCATATAGTATGTGTTCAGTAAAATTTAATCTCCTTCAATAATTAGTTAACATAAACTGTTAATTTATATCTGCTTTTACTTAGCATATGATTGAAAAAATAAAATCAGGAATGCAAGTCTAGGAACACAGAATAAACACTCAACCCATGACCTTTCTTTATTTTATTGTATTTATCCTTTTTTTTTTTTTTTTTTTTTTTGAGACAGAGTCTCGCTCTATTGGCCAGGCTGGAGTGCAGTGGTGTAATCTTGGTTCACTGCAACCTCTGCCTCCCGGGTTCAAGCGAATTCCTGCCTCAGCCTCCCAAGTAGTTGGGATTACAGTTGCCTGCGACCACACCCTGCTATTTTTTTTATTTTTAGTAGAGATGGGATCTCACCATGTTGGCCAGGCTGGTCTCGAACTCCTGACCTCAAGTGATTTGCCCACCTTGGCCTCCCAAAGTGTTTGCTGTGTTTTCCTAGGGCCTAAGGTTTTTGCTGCCACTGACAAGGGTCAGGAAGGAGGTATACTCTGATTTAGGGGCAATAAGTCCTAGGGTGAGAGCAGTAAAACTGGAGTCAGAAAAGCCAAATCCAGTCCTCAGCATTTATTACTAACTCTATGACCTCTTCGAATCATTTAAATTCTCTGTTCTTGTTTTCTCTTGTAAAACAGGAAAAGAAAAAAGATGCATTCTGCTTTGTTTGCAGGCATGAGCTAAACAAGCATGTTTAGTTCTTACGGGTATTTCTGTCATTTTCTCACTCTTTGACAAACCTATCTGATCTTTGACAAACCCACTCTCATTATTCCATAAGAAAGTGGTGTTAAAGGCTTATGTTTCTTCCAATTTGTGATTACCAAGAGGCACTTAAGAACTCCAGGATTTCCATTTGTATAAAATCTAGCACATTATCAGTAAAACATCTTGACATTTATTTTAAATAGATTATTTATCTGCTATGAACCATGTGACATGCTTCTTGTTATGTGATAGTAACTCCATTATTTAGACATTTTAAAATTCCATTCAAGAAACAGTTGTATCCATGGACCAGCCATTCAAAGAGTAATTTTTCTTTAATCATTGATCTTCCAAATTCAACTTTACTCCTCTCTCCTTTAAGTCACCTGAATTACATCGTCACATTGTTCAGTGTTTGTGTGAATGTGTATGCATGTGTGTATGTGGTGGTGGTGGAGGTCCCTTTCTTCAGTATTCCCTCATTTCCTACTTTGGGCCTTTTTGGAAATGTTATTAAAAATTTTGATTATAGAATGGTACTTCATATTCACAGCATGATGCATTCATCAACATAAATCTAGCCAAAGCATTTCATTTGTGGATTTATACACCTGAAGCATTAAAATAAGAAATGTTAATTTCTTGCAGACTACTACCAGATGATTTTAAATATCTGCTAAGCAGGAATGTCTGTTCCCATGTGGGGAATTTCCATAATAAAATCCTGGCACCCTCGCTGAAGAGTACAGTTTTATAGAAACAGAGAAAAACAACAGCAAGTATTTTCCCTGAGGACGGTTTTAGCTACAATTTCCCAATGCTGCTTAGTTATTTCTGTCTTATTTTATGCTTTTGTTTTGAAACATAATGCAATTTTACCTGGATGCACTCCCGGATAATCAGGAATGGCTCAGTGTGTTTTCTGGCTCTTGCAAATGCAAGACCTCCAGAAAATCAGAAGGCTCCACCGCCTTGTCCCTTCCCCCACTCACACCTCCAGCTGGGAGAAAAGGGTTAAGGATTATTGGAAAATAGAAGAGAAGGGAGGGAGCCCCAAGGAGGCCCACGAACGGGAGGCCGCGCCTCTGGGTGCAGCGGAGCTCGAGCGCTGTTGTGTGTTTGGAAGGAAGGATGCTGCTGCCAATTTGTGGGACCGCTGCTGCGAGGAGTGGGCGTGGCCTCGGCGGTGTGGATGCTTGTTAGGAAAGATGCTGAGTGCTTTTCAGTGAGGAGTCAGGGAGGTGTGTGTGAGAGAGAGAGAGAAAAGAGAGAGACAGAGACGGGGAGAGAGAGAGGGAGAGAGAAGAGAGGGAGGAGGGAAGAAGAAAAGACGGAGGGAGGTGAGGAGGAAGGGAGGGGGAGAGACAGAGACCTAGAGGGGCTGAAGACCCAGACAGAGCTGGCAGAGCTACTGAGAAGAGGACTGGAGCGCTCTGAGAGCCTCTCAAGATCTTTTGGGGGAGCCCAATAAATGTGAACATGGGATCTGTCACGGGAGCTGTCCTCAAGACGCTACTTCTGTTATCTACTCAAAATTGGAACAGAGTCGAAGCTGGGAATTCCTGTAAGTATACAGCAAATGATTTAAAACTTGCTGGGGGGCTCTCTGCAAAACTTTGATTCTGTTGGTTTGATGATGATTATTTGCAGCTGGGATTGCTGCAAAGCGTATTGCTGTAAACCAAGCATCACTTAAAAATCTTGCCAATGTGACCGGTTAACACTTGTCTCTCCTCTTGGTCTGGTCAAAATAGGCAAAGTGTCATTTCTCTTTTTGTCTACTCGCAGAATCTTACCCTCTGGTCTTTGAGTATTCATTGAGAATGCCCAAGTTCTAGTAAAACATGAAATTAGCATCTTATCGGGGGAATAGCCTGTGAATATCTTCATTTCTTCTTTTTTAAAGAACTACTGAATTTTATTGGAATTATGTCTAAGAGGAAAACAACTGGCAGACTTTACATTATGCTGCATTGGCTTAGATTTCTGAAGTTTGCAATTGGGCAGACCAGTAGCTGCCTGCATCTTTAAAATAATGCAGGCTAATAACTGAAATGTACTGCAGGCTTCAGGAGCACCAGCACTGGCTGAGGCGAGTCTCAGTATTAAGAGCTGTGCCCTCGCTGCTAAGAGAATGAGACTTAGCGCTCTCCGGAAAGAGGAGCCTCTTCCTACATTTCGCTTAAAGGAAAACCAGTCAGGTGGTCTTTCAAAAGTAGGATTCCTTTGTGGTTGAATGCTTAACTGCATAAATTTGTAATTGAATGTTCTGATGAAATAGAACCTATTTAGGGAAGATTGAAATCTTATTTATAATTTAGATATCATCCATAATAATTTGGCAGACTCCCTTCATCCACTCTTTATTAGAGATAGAAAAAGTTTTAAAAGTTATCTTTGGCTTAAATTCTCTAAATGGGAGAATTTTCCCCTCCTGATTAATGACAAACAAGCTTGGCAAATACAACTTTTTATTTTTTCTTGGATTTTAAAGGAAAAGCTCATTTGCTTTCCAAGAACTGGCTATGAGGCCTGTCCAGGAATTTATGTTGCTGCTGTATCATCAGGCTTAGATTTGGGGAACAGAGGCAGTAATCAGACATTTGCTATGGCATATCACTTGACTATGTTAAGAGTTCTGATATGTGAAAAACATGACAAACTCATGGGCACAAGTCAAATGTCCCCTCACAGTACCTGGCTCCCGTGATTTCGTGTTTCAGTTCAGAATGGGCTCATTTAATGTCACAGGGTATCCATCACTCTGAAAGAAGGAACCTCACTTCAGGTGCTGCACATCAGATTCAACTTTAGTTTGAGTGTTGTGATAATCTCATAAGTCAATAAAATGTATAATTTCACCTAGTCAAAACCTTGGAATCTTATAATGGTAGCATTAGAAAAACATTGCATCATACAAGCAAACAATAACAACAACACCCACACACAAATGGAAGTTCTGTAGAAAAGGCATAAGTAATTCATCTTCCAACCACTAAAGTTCAACCAAAAAGAAAAGCACTAGAGGTCACTCTTACAATGTAAAGCACATCACCCCAAGCATCCTTCCCTCAAGAAAAGCAGAGCTTAAATCTGGCCTGTACTCCATTCAGTCTTTCCACTAGACTGCCTGTAGTTGGGTTTAAAATACATTAATCTAATTATTTGGGCTGCTAGTTGTTTATGTTTGCTTGTTTTCTTGAAGCTCAATAAAAAGTGTAGGGTGTACATCAACATTAAATAGCTTTCTTTTGCCATATATCTTCTTAGAAAAGAAAAGGTGCTGAAAGAGATCTGAGGAGAGTGTAATATTTATGTCTGCTTGGCTCTGGTTGGATCCCTCACTGACACTTAAAATTTCAGTGCTGGTTCTATATTCTTTCAGCCTTGGTTTGTTAAGGAAGTAGTCTAATGCTCTTTTAAACATCTGATGAACTTGCAAAACCTATACGATTTTTCATTATAAAAAACATTTAAAGTTGGAGTTCTTGCTTACCATGCATGTGGAGTTGACTGTTCTTCAAGTGTCAAAAATAAAATGAAATGACCTTATATAATTAAAGTTGCACTCAGTAATTTATTGTGAATATTTTGACAATATGATTTGCAGCAGTATGTGTAAAAGAAAATATTTCATTTCTCAATTTCTATTTCATTTTTCAATATTTAAGAAGTATTTTCTTTTTGGAAGAAGTAAGGTCTACTTGTACCAAGCCATGGTGGAAAGTACTTCATATGTTTCATCCTTTTTGGAAGGACAAGTGTATATATATTTCCCAGCAAGACTGGAATTTAGTGTAAGGACAAGCAACTATCAACCAGCATATGCATTTCTAAAGTATTATAATGACTCCAATAATTCTTCTGGACAAGACTTTATATTAAGAAAAAGTGAGTCAGTCTTGACTACCAATAGTAATATTGGAAATAACTGAATATAAATAAATAAAATTAAAGGACTAGAAAGACTTTTCCCCTTTATTTACAGCTGATGAGCCAGGAGCAAATCTGTCATCTACAGAGTCAGCCCAAGGTTGCCAGTTTGAAAGCTTTCATGGGACAGAACTCTGCAAAACCAGTACAGCTCAGGGATTAGGTGCACTTTAATTTGAATGTTAATTGATCCAATTAAACAGCAGGGAAACTTTACATTAGAAGGATTCTGTTCAAAGACAAACATATATGTTCACATATATGTATATGTGCTCATTTGTATATAGGTATATGTGTATGTAGATATCTAAACTACTAGACTCGTGCTCATTTGTATATACGTATATGTGTATGTAGATATCTGTAAACTACTAGACTCATGTGCTTGCATATTTTTGGTGGCCCTGTTAAGTACTTATCTGTCTAAAGATGAAATATGTTGAATGAACCACGCTCCCTGCCTACTAGTATCCTGTCTGACATTTCAAAAGCAGTGGACTAGCCATAATTTTTTTCTCTTTGTTCTCATCAAGATGAGCTTTTACAATTATATTGAAGTGTCCCTTCCATCAAAGTTTAGAGACGGATCCTTGCAGATGGGTGTGCTCTTTGAGAAGCTGCACTGGCTGTTCTTGGTTTCTTTGCTTGCTACTAAGAGACATGCATTAAGAACAGAGACATTTCTCTATTTTTTAATAGCTCTTATAAATCCAGTTTTTGAACATTAAGACATGGTTGAAGATGGGGTCAACTTACCCCAAAAGAAGGAATGGGTACAGTAGTAAGGCTGATAAGAGTTTGCTTTTATTTTAACTCTTGCAGATTATGTGAGGGAGGCTCTCTAGTTACTGGTATACTGAGCCGTACTCTTGAGAATAATTAATGCTCCCCAATGACTTAATTAGAAGTTAACATCTCACTGTGTTCTTTCTTTTCTCTGATGGAAATAAAGGCCGTATCTGATACCTACCCTAAAAGAAGCACTGAAGGATAGATGAAGGCAAATTGCCTAAGTAGATGATCACTCTTGTGGGTCCTGGGAGACAGCTGGACAGATTCTCACATTGTTAAAACTCAACCTTGTAATTCTTTCTAGAAGCTACTTTCTTTTCCTCCCCCCACCATATTTACTCCTATAGCAGAAAATAACTAGAATGCAATAGTAAAGTACTGATAAAATATAATTCTATGAGGCAATGCATAAATGGCTAGCCCCTATAAAGATCAGCACGTACTTTGACTCACTTTTCTAATAGCAATGGTGATTTATTTTCATCTATTCAGTCCATTTTCTCCACTTCTTATTACATGCATCTCAATAATCTCTGATAAAGGCAGCCTCTAGCTCTGGAGATAACGTGACTCATGGGCCAACATGGGGATCAAACATAACTTTCACATAATACCTGGTGCTTACTCTAGGAAATAAAGATTATTGTCTTGTAAAATTAATTTTGGAATTTATATCATATGTAAGCAATTTCTGTATTGGAGCTAATGAGTATATCAAGATTAAATTGACTTTTGTTAAAGAAAATAGATTAATAGAATTATATAACATCTATCATAAGATAATAAAATATTTAACTCAGGTTGGTAAACTGTGGCCCATGGGCTGAATCTGACCTGCTAGTAGTGACTGTTTTTGTATGACCCATGGGCTAAGAATAGTTCTTCCATTTTTAGCTGAAAAAAATTAAAAGAAGAATTCTTCATGGTAAAAAATAATTATATGAAATTCAAATTTTATTCTTCCACTTATTAGTAAACCTGCATGACAAAAATTTCTACTCAAATATTAGTATTATATTTTGAATTTTATCAATTAAATTTTATTAAGATTGTTTACCCTCTTACTATGTAACTACTTACATAAGATTCTTTACTCTCTGGCACTTTATATAAAAAGTTAATTGACCCCTATTTAAATAATATACAATAAAATGATAAGACATGAAAAGTGTATAAATTATACTTCTATGATAAAATTTAGTCTTAATTATTTAGCACACAAATATATACTTGCAGAGTTGTGGTACTGAACGCAATGCTATTATTGCCAGGAACTGTAACAGAGGATATCTTCAAGTTAATGTTTCCTTGTATGTTTTTTCTTAAAGACTTTATTGTTCAAAAATCTTGATATTTCAGTGGGTATAAATTATTTGTAAAATTCCCACAGTTTTAATCTCAAGTGGTCTTGTTAGGATAAGATATTTGATGAAATATATAAGTAATATAAGTTCAATGAAGTATATAAGTAATATAAGTTCAATTAACTGTACAAGTAATTGCAACTTAGATGTTTTGAACAAAAATTCTGCTGTTATTTTACATTTTCATGAGTATAAAATATTCCACTCTATCTTAATCAGCAACTTACATTTGGAATCAAAGATCATATGAGGAAAATGTTTTTGATAGAAGAGTATTTTTGCTCCTGTGACTTTTAAAGCAGCAGCTTTCTAAAAATTCTGAAATTGGCCAACTTTCTAGAATAAACTGAAAAATAGATTTTCATTTAAGCACTGCCCACTAAGAGCTCATGATATTTAAGCAAGTGATTTTCACTTACCCTTGTCAATAATAAATTTCTGGGTAAATGGTTTGTGTATTTGAAATTGTATTTATTTTAGAATTCCAGGAACTGATCTTTGGCCCCATTTTATTTACGCTATACTTTTTCCTACAGTTTTTTGAAAAATTAAATTAAAAATATGATGTAATATCATTTAAAAACCCATTTTCATTTTTTCAGTTTTTTTTCAAAACAAATGGTCACTTGTTAAAATAGTTTATTTTTTCATTATATTGTTTTTAGTGCTTCAGCTTTAAATGAAGATTTCTAAGTCTCATCAAAAGGCCAATTTCCAAAAAGAAAATAAACCCCCCCACCAAAAAAACTAGGATAGTCTCAAAGAGCTTAACTGAAATATGACTTTCTCTGAGTGTCAAAGGAATTGTGATGAGATTCGTGATCATCCACTGTAAGTAGACAACGATTAGGGATAATGACATTGGCATTACATGGCTTTGAGTTTTTAAAAATAGAATATCAGCTCTGCTCTACAAATACCGATTTTTCTTGTTTAAATACTATGTTTAAAATTTAAAGCTATTCTACTTCAGATTAAACAATATTGAGGCCTTAATATTGTTCACTAATGAATCATATGACCTTTAGGTTGCCAATTAGTCCCAGGTTGTTTAAGAAATCGTTCTGTTATAAAGACACATGCACATGTATGTTCATTGCAGCACTCTTTACAATAGCAAAGACATGGAATCAACCTAAGTGCCCATTAGTGATAGACTGGATAAAGAAAACTGGTACATATACACCGTGGAATACTACGTAGTCACAAAATAGAATGAGATCACATACTTTGTAGTGCCATGGATGGTGCTGGAGACCACTATTCTTGGCAAACTAACAAGGGAACAGAAAACCAAATACTGCATGTTCTCACTTATAAGTGGGAGCTAAATGATGAGAACACATGGACACATAGAGGGAAACAACACACACTGGGGCTTTTTGGAGGATGGAGAGTGGGAGGAGAGAGAGAATAAGGAACAATAACTAATGGGTACTAGGCTTAATACCTGAGTGTTGAAATAATCTATACAACAAACCCCCATGACACAAGTTTACTTATGTAACAAACCTGCACTTGTACCCCTGAACTTAAAAAATAAAAGTTAAACAAACAAAAGAAGTCCTTCACTATCCTTTAAAAAATATTTTCATTTTGTTTTCACTGACTGAAAGTTTACAGAATGATCTAGCTCCTGAAAACAGTAGGAAGAGTAAGAAAAATGCATCCAACATTGTTATGTGCATGTTCAGATTGTTAGTTGAATATATCTGATGAAATATTAAATCATGCAGACTTTGACCTGATTGTCTTCCATGCTCTAGTGTTTCAATTATTATTTATAGCTTATTTTTCATTTTTATTCATTCAATAATTTTGACCTCAACTTTAGAATTTATCTATAATCATTGAAATTATATTTTTCAAATTAACTAGTATGATAGGGAAGGGTTGACCCATCACAGTGTATGTGCTTAAATAGGAGATGTTTCCTATATTGTTGCATGATGTTCCTATGTTGTGGGTGGTGGTGGCATGCAAATTCTTATAAAATGTATGGATGATTGTTTTCATGGGTATTTCAGTTAGGAATATTTAGGAATACTCTTTAACAGATTTTCAAGAACAGGTCTTGAGTTGTAGCATCAAATGCTAATATCAGTTTGATTTTGATCACTTTAAAAAGAAAAATCTCAGAAAGTGAAAGAAATGCCCCAAACCTCATGCAGACAAAAATTACAGAGTTTTGGAGACCCTGTGATTAACTGAAAACACTGAAATGAAGTAGTTTACCCAGAAGATTAACATTGGAATTGGAAGGATTCAGGGTTTTAAAAACAGGGTTTAAAATCTTAAGAAATAGTAGTTTACCCATAATTTTAAGTTACAACAAATTGTATCTCTAAATAACAAAAATGTCATTGACTGTTGAATTGTCTTCTTATATTTTTGGGGAAAATTTTGATGTCTAAGAGTTTAACACTTAAATTTCTTCCATGAGCTCTTAAGCTGTGATTGTCTGTGTATTGCAATTAAATATGCATGCCTGTATGTGTATGCATGCATTTATTTGACTTTTGAAACTGGCTTTCCTTGTTTTTAATCTATGATTTTTAGGCTCTCCAAAGTGCTGATTACTTCAGGGGGCTGATGGCTCTGTGTTGGTAAAGACCAATCTGACATATAATTGCACAAGCAAAGATACTTTTGTTTCTTAATTGACTTTTGGAGGACAAAGATTTTTTCCAAAACGTCTTTTGTTAGGGTCTTCATAGTTAGTTCATAGTTACTAACTACAGTTACATAGTTCTGTAGTTAGTGAAAAACTACAGAACTGTGTAATGATAAAGAATGTACATGCCAAACGCATTACAAGTTATCATTATTGCTTCAGTTTGCCCATGGAACATTGGTATTTGGAAGAGGAAGTGGATATGCTTGGGTGTTTTTTTTCCCCTCCTTCCAGTGAATTTTCATTATGGTTCATGGAAAAGTGGTACTCTAGTAATAAAACTGGGAAAATAGCATAACAGCAGGTAAAAATGAGCCTGTTTATGTTACAGTTAATGAGTCATTCCAATGTAATAATTGGAGAAGTGAGTGAAGCCTGAAAACATTTGACATTTTAAGTAGTTCAAAATTAGTAACTATAAAATTTTTTAATGCCATAAGTATTTAATAGAGCAGTGATGAAATTTATCTCCAAGGTTTTTAAATCACAACGGAAAAAAATGGTGTGATATTATCAGTTGGCCTATAGCTCTAATTGCTTTTTTTATTAAGTACCTCTCATTACTTGGCAGTGCTCTAGAATAAGATATTATGGGCTTCTAAATCGTAAAAGACATATTAGTTTCTGTAACCATTTTCTTCCCACTGGCAATTATGATACTTATAAATGGGGTCATAGGTTGATATTACTTTAAAAGCACCATGTAAATATATAAATTCACCTGCCTTCCTAAATTACGTTTATTGTATACTTTTTAGAAAAATTATAACCTGTAATTTCATTAATGGACTTACTCTGCAATTATGACCTACGGAAGTATTTTTTTCAATGTCCTTTGAATAAGGACACGGATAAACTCTCCTAGCAATTGGTTGTAAGCCTTAGGGTTGATAGTTGCTTGGATGACCTTGAACAGACATTTGATTCCCTTGGCCCACCACAGAGACCCCCACATTTTCCCATCAATATAAAGCAATTGCCTTTGCTATACCAGGCCCAATAGAGGGATTTCTTGGAAAATCTGAGAAAGTCAAATTTCTAGGCTAATAGCTTTGCTCTAAAAGAGTGCATGTAGATTTATATCTTTAAGACTTGTCTTCAGTATTCAAAGATACTATGTATTGGTATTTTAAAATCTGCTGGTCAGCTGACGACTGACCAAGGACAAAAAAGGAACTAGATTGAAAGTGGTCTTTAAGGGAAATGAGTTGCTGAGATAGAATTATCAGTGTGTGTGTGTGTGTGTGTGTGTGTGTGTGTGTGTGTGTGTGTGAAGATAACTGTGGGTGGGAATTGGAAAACAGACCATTTTGGTAGGGGAAATAGAAAGCATTGCCCCTAGGTGGCACATTTTGAATTAAATAGTGATGGGATGTAGAATAAGATTGCTTCATATTTGCTATCCATACCAGAGTAGTCTCCAGTATGCTTTTAAACCAGTATGTGGGATTAAAAATTAGCAAGAGGTCTTCTTGGCTCTAGTTTAAATTCACCCAAACAGAGAAGTGATATTACCCTTTTGCGATCTCAAAGATCTTTATTTTCTAGGACTCGGTGTAAAGACCTCAGGATCCCCAGTAGTTAACTCAACTTCTTCTCCCACCGTGGGTGCTAGTCTTTCTGAACCTAGCAATGAAGCAGAATATGTTGGGAGAGATTTTGGCTTAAAAATCACTAGATAAATTGAAGCATAATTTAACTCCTGAAGACAATGCGGTAAAGTGATACGGGTGGCAAGAGAAGGGCATGATAAACAAAGTTGAACATTTTTTCACATCTTTCACTTTTATCTCTCAATTTTGGCTGATTTTAAACAAAAAGAATTTATGTCCAAGGCAGAAAGCTGCAAGAATGCTTAGTGATCCTCATAATTAAGGATTTATAATACATATTTACATTTGCCATGTTTTAGATGTTTAGGACTTAATTAAAAGAACATTGCTAAAATAAAAGCAATTCTATCTAAATTGGTGATGAGGGAATTCTATGCAAGGTTGTAAAGCTGCTCAATTAGGCTCTTTTGTTTCATAGTGTGTATGATTTCTGTGCTTATTTGAACTGCTGTACTTTAACATGACAACTGTGTCACAATCCTGTTAAGAAAACTTCATGCTCACATACAGCTTCATAACACTACCTCTTAAGTATCAAAAGATGTAAGCTTTTCTAAAACAAATATACAAAAAATAGCAATAATTTGAGGAAAGAACTAGGGTACATTTAAGAAAGCAAAGAGCAAACACTGTAGATAACATTTAGTTTCTTAAACTCCTAGCATCCTTTATCACAAAATGAAACATGATAAAACAAAACATTTCATGGTCAAATACATACTAGGGGAATGGAAAAAGGAGGCTAATGTAGAATTTTAGCTACTAAAAATAAAATTGTGATCACCATAATTTGCTACGCTTAACACGCAAAACAGCCTGATTCATTTTTTTAACCTGTTCTCTTTGTAAATGATCACATTGGTTTCTTGGAAGCTTTGCTATGTGCTTGCCTGTGGGATAGTTTCTTTATATTTATGTATAATTGCAACATGAACCAGATTAGCATGAAAGTATGTAGGTAGTACCATTAATCACTGAAACATTCTCTAGAGAAGATGTCAGGAAGTTCTCTGTTTTTCTGAGTTAGCAAAATCGAGCCTCCTGTGATCATTTTCCTTTTTCATTTTCCTGGATATGAGGATGATCTGGCTGTGACATCTGTCGTGTTAGCGATGGCCAGGGTTGATTTGGCTGAGATGGCTGGTAAGGCAGCTGTTCCCTCTTCCTTCCTCACTGCTCCCTGTGACCCTGATTCACTCCATTTTATATCATACAATATTTTACCTACTACACATATTATTGTAGTTTTAGGTAAGCTTGACATAATGTACTGTTATATTTCACCAAAGGTACAGATTTTAAGAAAAAGCAAGTTTTGCCTTGCAGCTATATTTCATTGTTAGGCACATCCAACATTAAGTTGAGGCTTATGAACATGGCAAACAAATGTCTTCCTACTCAGTACTTGCTGATCTTTCCACTTTTGTCTGTCTTTACTGCTTGATATAGCTTGGCTCTATTTCCCCCACCCAAATCTCACCTTGAATTGTAATAACTCCCACGTGTCAAGGACAGGACCAGGTGGAGATAATTGAACCATGGGGGCGGTTGTCCCCATACTGTTCTTGTTATAGTGAATGAGATCTCGTGAGATATGATGGTTTTATAGGAGGCTTTCCCCTTCACTTGGCTCTCAGTCTTCTCTTGCCTGCCACCATGTAAGACGTGCCTGTTTTGCCTTCTGCCGTGATTTTAAGTTTCCTGAGGCCTCTCTAGCCATGCAGAACAGTGAGTCAATTAAACTTCTTTTCTTTGTAAATTACTCAGTCTCAGGTATGTCTTCATAGCAGCATGAGAGCAAACTAATACACTGCTTTTTCTTCTTCAATCCTGGTGTCCCCTGTGTCCTCTACTCTTCATTTCTTGGCCTTTGCATCTGTTGTTCCCTTTGCGTAAATTACCCTCAAATACTTCACTCTAAAACCTCTTGGAAAATGTCTACCCAAAACAAGCCTCATCTCCTTTGTCCATGGAGTCTCACCACCTCAACTTTAATCATTCTCTAGCAGAAATTTCATAGCACTTCAAATGTTTGCTTATTCCTGCCCTGATCATAGACTATCAAAATGGATTTTTAAAAAGTTTCCTTTGCAAAACTGAAATTTTTGAAAGACAGAAGTATTATGTTAATCACTTCAGTATCTGCAACATCTAGCACAGTGCCTGGAATAAAGAGCATATTCAGTAAATGGGAAAACAATACGTTGATGGATGATAATTTGTATTTTTTTTCAGTTGAAACACCAAAAACAGAGAAGATGAACAGAATCAGGCTAGACAAATTGGAAAATTGTGTTATTTTGGTGATTTAAACGTCCTTTTTATTTAGGATCCCATTGATTTTTGCTATCATTTTAAAACTTTGACTTTGTATTTAACTCTATTCCATTTCATTTCATTAGGTTGCATACATATTCTAGTCTGTCATAATCCATTATGGTACATATTCTCCTGGTCAACCTATTCTTACTATTTCTCACTATCTCTCTTTTCCTTTCCCTCTCACCTTTTAAAAAAAAAATTTATAGCAAATGTAATTTGATAGGCCACTACATCAAATTATTTTGGATTGAGGACTCTCAATAGACAAACAAAAGATACATCATGAGTATAAAATAAAATTGGAACAGCATCAGCTACTTCCAATCCATCCTCATGTCTTCCTATGCCTGTAGCACGTGCCCGATCATCTCTAGCAATTTGAAAGTAGTACTGAAAATTACTCTCCACATTATGAGAAGAAATTTTCAACTCCATCCAGTTTGGACTTCAAGTCTTTTGTATTGGTTTTTATTTTCCATTTTCTCTTTAAAGACTTTTCTCATTCACATAGGGTAGAAGAAAAATAAAATTCATTCTCTATTTTTTCTTTTCATTATTAACTTTTACAAAGCAGTGTGACCACAGCCTCCTTGCCCTTCTTTTGCCTACAAACATATGCAAGATGTTTCTTTTCATTGCCTTTAGCATTTTTTTTTTTTTTACCAGCATTAATGAGTTCCAAACTTTTATTTTCCGCCTGTTTTTTTTTGAGACAGAGTCTTGCTCTGTCTCCCAGGCTGGATTGCAGTGGCACAATCTCGGCTCACTGCAACCTCTGCTTCCCAGGTTCAAGCAATTCTCCTTGCCTTAGTCTCCCATGTAGTGACTACAGGCACCTGCCACCATGCCTGGCTAATTTTTGTACATTTAGTAGAGGCGGGGTTTCACCATGTTGGTCAAGCTGGTCTTGAACTGCTGGACTCAAGTGATCCACCCGCCTCAGCCTCCCAAAGTGCTGGGATTACAGGCATGAACCACCGCACCTGTCCTTATTTTCCTCTCTTAATTGCACATATGTTCCTTTTATTATTTTCTGGTAAAACCCATCACTTGTATTTAGATTCTGCTCACGTTTCATCCTCCTCATGGTACACATTTGTGATTTTTATTGCCAGAAGTTTATAGTCATAACTTTTCATGCATGTTGACATATGTTATCATTAATAATGACAAATATTCCTTTTGCAGTGGGCTCTGTGGACTCCAAGGTGGTGAAGTGTGCCCTGTGTTATTTTATTCTCACACAGGCCTGTGAGACAAGTGTTACTATGATTATTTTACAAACTAGGAAACAAATTTAGAAGGTGCTTCCAAAGCTACTGAGTAAGGAAGAACAAAAATGAGGCTTAGACCCAATGACTCCAAAATCCATTGTTCTTTGAAATGGAAAGTGCCCATCTTCTCCCTGCATCTGTGAAATCTCCTCTCCTGAATATCAAAACCACACATGCTCATTCTCAAGGTTCTCGCTCTGGCACGATAGTAAATTCTAAGAACCCATATACCACATATGCTCATTCCTTCCTCTTTTTTCCAAGGATCTGTCACTTTCATCTTAACAACAAGCCCCTTTTGATTAGTCGGAGTGAAGTGGCAGGCACTCGCTCATGTAGATAACTAACGTTTTCTCCTCTGAGTGTACACTGTCCTGCTTGCTTCTTGGTACCCAAAGACCTATTCACTTCCTCTAAATTCCTTCTTTGAGTCAACAATTTCAAGAAAAGGGTAAGTGGTTGAAACAGCCTAAATCACAAAGAAAATCCAACTCCTTTCTGCAAGATTGCAGCACTGCCTGACCAAGGCATTCTACCAGTTTTGTTCCTTTCCTCCATAAAAGCTTCACTCCTTCCCGATGTTCAGAGACATATTCCCTTTGGTGCCATATTAGTCTTCTATGGCTGCCATAACCGAATACCACAGAATGAGTGGCTTAAACAATGTACATTAATTTTGTCACAGTTCTGGAGGCCAAAAGTCCATCAAAATGCCATCTAGGTTGGTTTTTGGTGTAGCCTCTCCTCCTGACTTGCAGATGACCACCTCCTTGCTGTGTCTTATGTGGCCTTTCCTTTGTGCACATGGGAGAGAGAGAGCGATATCTCTGGTGTCTCTTACTCTTCTTATAAGGGGCCAGTCTTATTGGATTAGGGCCTCACCCTTACAACCTCATTTAAACATAATTGCCTCCTGTTATGGCCCTCTCTCTGAATAAAGTCACATTGGGGATTAGGGCTTTGACATATTAATTGTGGAGTGGGGGGTATAATTCAGTCCATAACAGGTGCTCTCACTGTTGCAACTGTCTAAATTACATTGCTTTTTTTCAGTATTGGGAAACAATTTTTGAAAGTTCAACAGTAGATACATTGCTTTTACAGGTTAAAACTTAACAGCTGAGTGGAGTCATCCTGAAGTTGAATCCTGGTTCAGTGCATTGCCGAGATCAATGGCATGGCATTCTCATCCATCAGCCACCACTGCCTGGTGGACATGGGGGTACCACTATCTATCCCTTCTTTTTCTCTTTGCTTTTATCTGCACCTGGTGCTGTCTAGGTGCCTCTAGTACCCAAGAGTTTCTGATATCCCAACATTTCCATAGCCATTATCACAAGTATTATTTTATCCCCTTCCAAAGTACTTTCTTCTGTATGTTACCCAGCTCCAGTTGTGCTGTGATTTGCTCTGTGTGTTTCTCATATCCCCTTCTCAAAAGTTGATTGTACAGTTTGTTTTATCTGGCACTTTCCCACTTCGTAATCAGTAAATCTCAGTACACACAGCTCCTCCTCCTTCTTCCTGTGATACATTCTATGCTTAGTCAAAAACAAACAAATAAAACATAAATAAAGCAAACAAACAATAATCTTTCTAGTAAGTTTTGAAAAGTCAGTTTAAAATTTATCATCTAATTTTAAATTTGTAGGATGCCCTCCACGAATTGAGAACTGGGACAGATGCTTGCCATACATTATTTCAGTCAATCTTAGCACAGCATCTGTTCATGCCCAGTGTTTTCTCATACGCATGCTTTCCCATCCTTTCCAGTGCATTTCTCTTGTGGCTAAGTAGCCTTTGGATTTATCTTTTCAAAGGTTTCACAGTAGCCCATCAAGTGGATATACTTTTATTTAAACATTCCTCTATTTTGAACTCATTGGTTGTCCATTGACTTATTTTTTGATTTCTCAGTCTATCAGCATCTGCTTGTAGTAGTATATGGCTCCCTTAAGATTCTTGTATTTCTCTAATATAACGGTATCTTAACCCATTTGCAAATGTCAATGTCATGAACTGTTCAATGTCATCCAACTTTGTCTTGCAAGAGTCCACATTTCTTTTGGAAGGAGAAATGTAACGTTACCACTGTCTCCTTGCACCCCTCCCCTTCCTGCTCAAGAATTTATGGCACTTAAAGATAATTCCTTGCCTCTTCGAGCACTATCATTTGTTCAACCATGAACCTGTGGTGGTGGGTACAGACTGTCATGTATGACGGATCTCAGAAGTGCATCTGTCACCCTCCAGGAAACCCTTTCACTCATCAATTGGTCTTGTCATTTATAGGCACAGCTGTCTCTCCAGCCCTCAGCGGCATTACCAATCTTCCCTACATGTGTTCCTCTCTGGAGCTCAGTGCCTGTGGCCTCTGATAGGCTGCTGCAAATGCAGGTTTTCGGTTGTAACCATCAGCCTAGTGTCTTCTCCAGAGGCATGATTTACTATTTATGGGTAGGACCTCCTAACTGCTGTATCATTCCTCTCTTGGTACTGATTTTGATTTCCTTCTGGCATCATAGAGTTTTCTGTCTTCCTTATCAAAAATATTTTTTTTTCTGTCTTTTTGAAGAAAAAATAGGCATCTTAAGAAAACAGACTAGTGTTTCTCAATACTTCTACTTTCTGCTTATCAGGGACAGCAACCTATATTTAATGAACATCAAAATGAAAAAGAAAACACTTCAGATTTAGAATTTTGAATGAGAAGTCTGTTTCCATTGCTAAACCAGAACCAGTGCTACTTAAGCCAGTCTCCTGGAGAGTGAATATGATTCTGTAAAATATCAAATATGCTTTTGAGTAGTGCTACTGATTAATTCCAGCCACTTTCAAAAAAGAAAAATATCAGAGACTTTCAGGCCACGTTTTACCTCACTCTTTCTTAGACTGTTAACCCCTATACACCTGTATAGCCCAGCTCTCTTTATAGTTATGCCTGAAGCTCTTAATATTTCTTTTTTCTTTCTTTCTTTTTTTTTTTCTTTTCCGGAGCCTCACTCTGTTGCCAGGCTGGAGTGCAGTGGTGCAATCTCGGCTAACTGCAACCTCCACCTCCCGGGTTCGAGCGATTCTCCTGCCTCAGCCTCCTGAGTAGCTGAGACTACAGGCATGTGCCATCACGCCCAGCTAATTTTTGTATGTTTAGTAGAGACGGGGTTTCACCATGTTGGCCAGGATGGTCTTGATGACCTCGTGATCTCGTTTTTCACTATTCACAAGCACCTTTAAGCATTTGCTCTATCAAACAAAGCAATGTGATCGTAATTTTAATGATATTTTCTTTGATATAACAATATTTATGAGCTGTTTTCTAGTTTTCTTCCTATCTACCTGTCTATTTACTTGTGTATGGTTTACACAAGTAACAAAATATTAAGGGAAAGTGATTTCAGAGGGAATTAATTAATTTGTTCTGAAATGAATTTCTTCTTAATTTGTATAATCAATTTTTAGGTGGATTTGAGTGACTGCACTTAAGGGATCACTTGACAGAGCATCTCTTCATAGTTTTATAGCTCTTTGCTTGGAACTTACTGGACATTGTTGAAAATAAAAGAATTTAATCACATTTCATATGCTAGGCAAAATATCAGGTGAAATAGTACAAGCAAGTGGCTGATCTTAGAGGTGCAAATCATGGCATCTAAGAACAAGCTGCTTTTTTTTTTTTTTTTAAAAAAAAGGATATAATTGATGCCCGTGACTGAATGTAGCATTTTTAGTAGTGTGGTTTGAACCGAGAATTGTATTTAGCCTTTCTCTTTATGTTCTACAGTCATTTCCTAAGACATCCATTCTTCTCAGAGCAAGAGAGGCAAACAGAGAAAGTCCCTGTCTGTCTATCTAGTTTCCATTTCAGGGACACTTCTTATTTCTAAGTGGACTTCCAGTGTGATATACAGAAAATAAATTATCAGAGATTTTGGAGAGCGAGTAAGAAACCCACTCATTCAACTTCTGAAACAGCTACATGTGAGTTTCTTCTTCCAGTCAGGGTGGTGAGGTACGATGATAAATGTGTCGCAATCCCTGCTATTCAGGGACCCACAAGCAAATGGAGAAGACAAAAAGTAACTCTAACAAAGAGCAGACTGTGATCCATACTACACTTCAGTATGGATTCCTGATCTAATACAATTCTGACTTATTTGGTAACCTGTGTGTTTCCTCTCATTTCTCTTAAAAATCAATAAATAACCAGTAATATCACTAGAGTTGACATCAGATGGGTTTTTATATTTTTCACCTACCTATGAAGTGATAGTTTAAAAATTTATCCCCAAGAATTACACTGGCTGAATATGTTTCATGCTAAATGTACTCTGTAATAGCACACTTTGGGACTCTGGTTATTTTTCCATTGACACTGATGATTCAGTGAATTGTATCTAAGAAAGAAAGAAACTAAATATGTTAAAAAATTTCTTAGTAAAATATTTTTTACATTCCTTGGATAGTTTTGGTTTCATACACTCACTCTTCTCTGGGTTGGGCTATTATTCATTCAGTCTATTAAAGTGTTCCAAAACATAGTAATTTCTGCAACTTCTTGGGGTTTCACTTTACTCTGCACATTTCATTCATTTATTCACTCAACAAATAGTTAGTAAGCCTCCACATTGTGGTACCTGTCATTACACATGTCTTCAGCACCAGTTTTCTTGAAATGTTATTATGGTCTCAATCTGTAAATTCTTGCTCGCAATTGAGAACAGAAGTTTCGACTCTCAGATACACAATGCTTTTGTGACCACATTTTATGCTGAAGGTTTTGCTTTTTTCTTAAGACAAAATGTATTGTATTGTTTAAGGTGCTTATAGGGGGGCCGGTGTTCTTACAGGCAATGTGCTCAGAGGCTGTGCTCTTACAGCTCACCCTGGCTTAAAGCTCAGCTTTGCCACTTCCTGGTCCTGTAGAAAAACAGCACAGTGTGGTAAGTGCAATGAGGGAGAGGCATACACAATATTTGGAGTGGTCACAGGCAGAACATCAGATGTGAGCAGTGGGAGTCAGTGAAAGGTGTTTACTGAAGGATGAATAGGACAGCTAGATGAGGAAAGAAGGCGGAAACACATGCCCATCATAGCGAGGTCCACAAAAGCATGGAGTCTTTGAATGCACCACAGTAGTGCAGAAGGACAAAAATGTTCAGAAGTGGCCAGGTCATGAGGAATCCTGTAGGTAAAGCTAAGGACTAAGGATCTGATCCAGAATCTTGAGGGGTCATTTTATTACTATAAGTGTTATGCATGCACATGTGTGTGACACTGATTAGATTTGCTTTTTATAAACTTAAAATTCTCAGGAGGGTGAAGGATGGGAATGATAAAAAACAGGAAATGGAGTCTAACTTGAGTCCACAGAGACTAGATATTAAGCTGGTGAACTAACTCCTGTAAAAAGTAATAAGAGCTACAGAAAAACAGAGACAGTGACAATGCTAATAAAGAACAGGCAACAACAGAGTTGTTCCACATGAGCACGTAGGACTGACAGCACGTCATGGCTGTCGGAAAGTAGTGACATGTGAGAGGAAGGAGTGGCCAATTCAAGTTGGTGGCTTTTGCTTTTTATTGTATTACAATAAATGTGCTTATATCTTCCAAAGGATGTACTATGCTTTTTGTATGTAGCTACTATTCTTCTGAATAAGAATTTATTTATTTATTTTTTGAAACAGAGTCTTGCTCTTTCCCCCAGGCTGGAATGTAGTGGTGCAATCTCAGCTCACTGCAGCCTCTGCCTCCTGGGTTCCAGCGATTCTCCTGCCTCAGCCTCCCAAGTAGACTAGCGGAGATTACAGACATGTGCCACCATGGCCAGCTACTGAATAAGAAATTTTAAGTGTGTTCATTTTTTGAAACTCTCTTCCTAAACTTCTCTACAAAGGATCGTATTTAAAAGCTTTTTTGAGATTGTGTGTGATTTCTACAATGCAATGTTTGAGGAATATGCCATGGTAATGTATTGAGTAAAATCTTTCTGAAATAAGGCTGATACAAAATGTTTTCTAACATTATGTATTGTTGCATTTTAATGAAATATTTTGCTTTTGGCAAGAATAAGAATTTATCCTGAATTGAAGGTTTCATAGGTGATTCTTCCGCAACACAGAGCATTATAATGTTTTCCTGCCTTCCATTCAAATACCTACCTCCACCCCACCCATTTGACTTAAATAGTAAAGATTAAATACATCTGCCTTATGATAGAAGACTGAATTCCTATAGCTGAGTTATTTCAATGCTTTGGGAAAGATACATTTAGGGCTTATGTATTTATCATTGGATGTGTAAAAAGAGAATTTGGTAAAATGATAAAATGGAAAAGCAAGTTTAAAATTTTATAATGTGTTCTTCAAGTTATATTCAATTTAATTAAGCAAACATTTACCAAGTGCCTGCCATATTGAAGTATGTTCTAGAACACAGGCATATAAAGATATAGAGATGCTGATCTCAAAATGGACGAAAGAGAGAGGCAGAGAGAGAGAGAGAGAGAAGAAAGAGAAATGGTATAGCTAATCATGATGGTACAAATGGTACTACTTTTGGAAATTCCACATCAATTTGAATCCAGTATTTTTGCTGTATCTAAGGATTCAGCAGCCAAAGATGAATGCTATTGAATTATTGACCATATTTGATACCCCAAGCATTGAGAAGAGCTGAAATAATTGCCCCTCCAGAGAGCTTTAATTCTCCAGTGTGTTCTGTAGCATTAAATCTTATGAGATTTAAAAATCCATGGCAGGAAACATTTGAGGCTTCCAGTTGCTCTCCGTTGGCAACTGTTACATTTTTAAAATATGCCCCTGGACATATCCAGCCATGAAGAAAAACCCAGAAGGTTTTCACTCAACAAAGTTGTAAAGAAGTAACCTTTAGTAACTTATAACTGAACTCAAAAGACTTAAACATAAGAGGGAAATCTCTTTTTCAAAAAGTGTTTTAGCATTTTGGACATCAGAATTGCAAGTACAACAAAACAAACAACTGCTCTTTAGAAAGCTATTTTAATTGATGGCACTGTTTAGCTAAATCTTCTTGGGCATTTAGATTTCATCATTTCTAAAACACTGTTATTCAATTTAATTTTGCTTGAAACCAATACACATGTATTTGAAATCATATTGACTGGGAATTTGGATCCTAGCAATATAAATTCCCCACATCACAAAGTACTTGAGGTGCTGAATGAACTAAAATAAAAGATAACTATTTATATTTATTTTTGTTCAATCATAATAATGTATTTAATTTATTATGTTGCAGCCCTAAAGAATTAAAGGGAGCTGTTTTTTCAAATGTGCATGCTCCGAGTTGTGTTACAGTGAAAAATTAAATTCTTAGTACTGAGGAAGAAGATAATTTTATTTGATTTACTTGACTTTACTTGATTATAATCTATTGCTGAAATTTCCCCTGGGGTCATTGAAATATATGTTCTCAGGCTATGACATAATCTATTATCTTTTAAATTTATCAACATTTACTATACAAAAAGAAGCTCAGAAGCTTATGATAGATAGATACACAATCCTTCACTTGGCTACTGGTTATATGCAAATCCTTCAGCATGCTGTTTCAGAATACTTTATCCAAGAACTTCAGATAACTTGCTCTCTTTAATTTTGTTTGGCATCTGCAGCATTAAAAAATATCTGTTAAAAACTTTTATTTTTTCATTTTTCATAAAAGAAGACCTGATAAACCAGATACTAAATTAGAATCAGAAATAGTCTCTGCTTCTCCTTTTCCTCATCTACTCTTTATGTCAAACATATTATTTTTTTTTCTTATCACCCGTAATCAGAAACCTGAAGAGACCCTTCTGTTTTTCTGCTATCTTCACCCGTCTCTTCACATAGTCACAAATTACTGTGGCTGCCTCTTTAGTGTCCCTACATCTTCCCCATCTCTTTTGTTCTACTGCCACAGTCTTTCAAACTACACAGCTGAGCACACATTTTTAATGTTTTATTAATTACTGTGCTAGGGTCTTATACAGGGTGCCATAAAGACAAAGAGGACACTTAAGTCCAAGGAGGTTAGCCGGTAGGTCTTCATCTGGAGGCCATTCCAAGCTGATAATCTCAGTGAACCTGAATAGAACTGTGTGTTTAATCAAAATGTAACAGTCAAGTTTAACTAAAATGCAATAAGCAAAATGTAATTTTCCTGGAGCAGCCATATGAAAGGTTGATTGGGTGGGAGAAAGTAGAATTGAAAATGAGTTTAGAATTAACAGTCTAGCTTTTATGAATGGCAATTAGATTCTTTGGATTACCCCATTCATTGTGTGTGCACATGTGTGTACATGTATGTGTGTGTGTGTGTGTGTGTGTGTGTGTGTGTGTGTGTGTGTGAGGTAAGGGGCTGTGCTGAGAAGCAGCCAGAGTCTCAGTTCTAGGGTCCACCCAAGCGGAAGAATTCATTAGAATCTGAAATGAAAGCAGAAAGCCAACAAGTGGAGTAAACACACCCTTAAAGTAATGGGGTGGCTGCAGCCATATAGAGCTCTCCAAGGGCTCAGTTGCCTGCAGGGATGCTGGCCAACTGGACTGCTGATCCTCTCCTAGACCACATTCTTATCAAGGGGCACATTTCCTGAGACATTCAGTCTCTTTCTTTTTAAGCCATGGAGTGGAGCCAAACAATATGTGGGTGGTGGACGTTTAATACCAATAGTGAGTTGGGTGGGGGCAGGTAGGGCAGAAATGATTCAAGTGTGGTTTGTATTAAATCAGTTCCTCTTTAATGATTGTGACTTGATGTTCTCTAGAACCTGGTAGGGACTTCTAACTTCATTAGTTACAACGTCTTATTAATTCAAGATGGATTAAAGACTTAAATGTTAGATCTAAAACCATAAAAACCCTAGAAGAAAACCTAGGCAGTACTACTATTCAGGACATAGGCATGGGCAAGGACTTCATGTCTAAAACACCAAAAGCAATGGCAACAAAAGCCAGAATTGACAAATGGGATCTAATTAAACTAAAGAGCTTCTGCACAGCAAAAGAAACTACCATCAGAGTGAACAGGCAACATACAGAATGGGAGAAAATTTTTGCAACCTACTCATCTGACAAAGGGCTAATATCCAGAATCTATAATGAGCTCAAACAAATTTACAAGAAAAAAACAACCCCATCAACAAATGGGCGAAGGATATGAATAGACACTTCACAAAAGAAGACATTTATGCAGCCGACAGACACATGAAAAAATGCTCATCATCACTGGCCATCAGAGAAATGCAAATCAAAACCACAATGAGATACCATCTCACACCAGTTAGAATGGCGATCATTAAAAAGTCAGGAAACAACAGGTGCTGGAGAGGATGTGGAGAAACAGGAACACTTTTACACTGTTGGTGGGACTGTAAACTAGTTCAACCATTGTGGAAGTCAGTGTGGCGATTCCTCAGGGATCTAGAACTAGAAATACCATTTGACCTAGCCATCCCATTACTGGATATATACCCAAAGGATTATAAATCATGCTGCTATAAAGACACACGCACAGGTATGTTTATTGTGGCACTATTCACAGTAGCAAAGACTTGGAACCAGGCCAAATGTCCAACAATGATAGACTGGATTAAGAAAATGTGGCACATATACACCACAGAATACTATGCAGCCATAAAAAATGATAAGTTCATGTCCTTTGTAGGGACATGGATGAAGCTGGAAACCATCATTATCAGCAAACTATCACAAGGACAAAAAACCAAACACCTCATGTTCTCACTCATAGGTGGGATTTGAACAACGAGAACACATGGACACAGGAAGGGGAACATTGCACACTGGGGCCTGTTGTGGGGTGGGGGAGTGGGGAGGGATAGCATTAGGAGATATGCCTAATGTTAAATGATGAGTTAATGGGTGCAGCACACCAACACGGCGCATGTATACATATGTAACAAACCTGCACGTTGTGCACATCTACCCTAAAACTTAAAAGTATAATAATAATAAAAAAAGAAGTTAAGGCAACTTTTTGCAGGTGACATCTGGAATATCACTGATGTACTTTTAAAGAATATCACTTTTAAAGAGAACACATTCCATTGTTGCTTATAAGCAGATATCTTGCCTATCCCACATCATGTCCACATAGCACAATGTCCTCAAATACTTGCTGAAATAGCTAGTTCAAGCAATAAAATGGGAGAGCTGTGCTGTTGGACACAGGGAGGGGAACATCACACACCAGGGCCTGTCGGGGTTGGGGTCTAGGGGAGAGATAGCATTAGGAGAAATACCTAATGTAGATGATGGGTTGATAGGTGCACAAACCACCATGGCACGTGTATACCTATGCAACAAACCTGCACGTTTTGCACATGTATCCCAGAACTTAAAGTATAATCAAAAATTATAAATTAAAAACAAAGATGTTGAATGGCAAATAAATGAGACCAATGTCATCAGCAAGAAATTAAAATTCTCTGACCTTCAATTTTTCATATAGAAAATAAATAGAATATCTTTCTCACAAAGTTGTAGTAAAGATTTAACGTGGTTGAGATATAGCATGCAATACATGTAACTATAATTAACATTTTTCTCTAGAGGGCTCCAGTCAAAACATTGGCACGTTGGCAAGCATCAATTTATTTTATTCATGTCTTCATCGATAAACATGAAATCAATTTGCAGTACATTAGACACTATGACATATGTTAGGGAAGTACCTGGATGTCAAGGAAGGGGTATCTTTTATTTTATTTATTTATTTTATTTTTTTCACTTTCCTTTTTTTTAAATTATTATTATACTTTAAGTTTTAGGGTACTTTTATAAAAGAGTGCCTAGGTGATGAACAAGTACATACTTGGTCAGTTTAACAGTATTTTATAGGAACTAACATGGAAATTATAACTTACAGACATGAAAACAAAGAAAAACTATACCATAGTCTTCATAATTCCAGGAAATTGTGGGTAAGAGTAGTGTATAAAAAATTAACACACACAAAAAGAGCATTTTTGAATGAGACTGTTGATCTTTGTCTTTTACTATGGGAATGATCAATTTTTAAGCAGCTGTCTTGAAAAACAAAATGACAAATGGTGGCTACTTGTAAAGCCATCATCATATTAATAGCTCCAAGGGTTACTTTCAACTGATGATTTTAAGTTCTAAAATCCAAAAACAAAAATTTAAACATAATTTTTTTAAAAACTGTGTTTGAGGCCAAAAGTGGTTCATGGTGGGATATGCAAATGAATTGAATTGAAACAGGTGTTTTCTATTTTAAAATAATTTATGATCTAATTCAAGGCATGGTACATAACATCTAAGATAATATTAACGATTAATATAGTGGTATTTGCAAACAGTATGTGAACTCATGTATACTGAAAGACCTGGAAGTACATGAGTTACCAGTACTTGGTTTAGTAATGAAGAAATGTTATCAGGACTTTGGGAGGGTTACAGTTTTTACTGGCGTGGTCCAGGTCTGTTCTGCTTACACGGGGTAAATCAGTCACTGTGACAAAGGTTTTGCAAAAGAGGAAAGATTTATTGGCAAGGTCTCCAAGTGAGGAGGTGGGAGAACAGCTCTCAAATCCGCCTCCCTGAAGATGAGGCTTAGGGATGTTTATGGGTTAAGGAAGTGGCATGATCTAAGGCATGGGGAAGGTGATTGGCAGTGGGGAAAAATGAAGTGACAGGTTGGTTTTGCACAGGAATAATCAGAGTTCATGGCATTTCGTAGGACATATGTACAGAAAACAGTGGCATTAGCATGATCTGAGGGTGGAGTTTTGGCTCTCTGACATCAAAAAGCCACCTCTCGGGCACTTGCACAGGCCCAGTTGAAAGGCCAGTGGTCTCTACTGGTTTGAACTGAACAGCAGCTGGCCCAAGTTTCTGAGAAACAACCGAAGCGACCATTACCATGGTGACTTAGGAATGATATCCACCTATAAGTAGCCAGGGAAGGTACAATTTCAGCTTCAGTGGCGAGGCCTTCAGCTACCATGGACTTCAGCTTCATAGAAAAAGGAAAAATAAAAAACAAAAAACAGAAAGTGACAAAAAGCAAGCAGGGCAAGTAGATCTGACAAAATTAACCCTTCACTTCACAATAGTTTTGAAAAGAGCTGAAGGACCTAGAAATATGAAGGATCAATCCTATGATCTCATCTAAGGCTTGGGATTCTCTCCAAGCTCACGTTAATTAGCAGAATTTCCTTGGAGCTGAACCTCCGTTTATGGGCTTGCTGTCAATCCAGGGCCATTTTCGGGTCCTAGAGGCTGTCCATCGTTTCTTGACAGGTGACCCTTTCTATAACACGGTGATTTTCTCCCTCCAGGCCTGTAAGATAAATTTCACCCATGCTTCTTATCTCTTTCACTTTTTGTGTCTCTGACCTTTAGACCTTTTGAAGGTCTCCCCTGATTAGGTCAACCCACTCAGGATAATACCCTTTTTAGGTAATTAAATTAAGGACCTCAATTAATTAATTACATCTGCAAGATTAGTTTTGCTATATAACATAACATAAGCACAGGACTGATACCCCGTCATATTCACAAATTCTGCCTGCACTCGAGGGGAGGGGATTATCCTAGGCCTATACAAGTGGCTGAAATCTTGAAGACCATCTTAGAATTCTGTCCACTGAGGGGCTCACACACCACACACCTGACTATCTCTCCAGAAGGGAGGGCTCTATGCCACGATGCTGCATGTTGTTTAGGGAGATCAGGAGCTGGAAACATTTGAGTGTCCTTGTAATAGTGATGGGTCCCTGGTAGGGGGTGTAGTCTTGTTGGAAAGAGTCCAGAGCTTAGAATGGTTATCAGTTCTTCTGTACTGAGCTAATGCACACCTACTCTGCCAGCTTTTAGCCAAGCTTCTAAAACAGTGGAAATGAACCTCTGAGACCAGCCAAACTTTTTCCTTGCTTGATTATGAAATCAAACACAATAATCTTAGCTAATGAAATGGAAATATTCTCCATCTAATCTCATGTTATTGCTCAGAGAAGCTTATTGTTTCTAGTTGGCTTGATTTTTTTTCCCTTAGTGAGAAATAGCTATTTATTAAACTAGCTTTATGCACTCCCCTATTAAAACCCATTTATCTGCAGGAAAATTCCTTATCACTAGGAAACATTTCAGCCTTCATCTTTAAGTGTGATACTTTGAGATACAAATAACAACTCTTAAAATAATTTAGTAATAAAATGGAACATTTGTTCAGTGATGTTGAAATATCACCTAATATGACTAGAATAAGAATTGAATTGAGACTTACTCAATTTTCCCTCCAGGAATCAAAGTCAAAACCATGGCAATTTCAGGTTGAAAATATCAGTAATGGAAGTAGCACATACTTAGGAGGACATTGTTGCTGTGACTTCATGGACATGTGGTTTAGTTGGCACAGTGTGAATTTCTAACTGTATCATCAAAGGTGTCCAAATAAAGAGATGCCCATGTTCTCTGAATTCCTTTCTCTCTTTCTTAATAAATTGTGGCTGTTTGATTTCTGCATCATGTGCAGTTTAAAATTCTGCTTTTCTGGAGAAAATGAAACAAACAGCTCTGAAGCTGAAGAGATGTAAAGAAAACTATGGTCTTTTGGAACATCAAAAATTATTTCATAATGAGAAAACAATGCATCGTAAGAACAGTTTTACTTTCTTTTTAAGTAATTCAGTAAAATCCCCTTTTTTTTTAAGAGGGAAGGATAGCCATGTGGTTACGAATGTTGAATGCTGATTTCTCTCTTTCTCTTTGAGGAATAATTCTTATAAGATTTTGTAAGACATATCTACAAAACTTTTATTCAGTTCACTTTTATTCAGTTCACTTTTATTCAGTTCCAACTTTGGAATTTATAATAAACACTTAAAGCAGCAATCATAAACACTTACATAGTACTTTTTATACACCAGGTACCAACTACTCTTTATCTGCTGACTCATTTAATTCTCAGAAATCCATGTTTTGTTTAGTATGTACCATCATTATCCTCATTTCGAGATAGGAAAGGCGATTTAAATAAAATGCCTAAGATCATGTAGTACTTAGCAGAGGCAGAACTTGAACCCACAGAGGAGGCTTCAAGAGCTACACTTGTAATCACTATGCTGCACAATATTCTGGCTTCAGTGCAAGGCGACAGGTAACCTGATATTGATCTTCCAGTCACTTAACATCTCAGCAAGCAGAGACCCAGACCACCACAGAAGTGCCATAATAGAAGCCTGTTCAAGTTAAGGAAGAATTTCCCGGTAGGATGGGAGGGTTGAGGGCTCTCAAGAGGTGTCAGAGAAAAGGGGGCACTATGGCTGAGCCTGGAGCATCCCCAAGGGCTCAAAAAGGAGGGAAGAACATTTCTCAGCTTTGTGCATTGAAGGGAGGATTGGGATAATCTTCCAAGTGACTTTGGGAGGGATCCAGTTTTGTGTAACTCAAAATAAAATTATACATGTGGACTCCATTGTTAAATGGCTCTCTCAGAATGTGAGGTCTCATCACTAAAGCAATATATGTGTGTCGCCACATCCGCCTTCAAAACTGCTTTTGACCAATCAGTGGGCAATATTTTGAGGCACAAAATCTGAAAAAATTAATTGTTTGGTTCTGCAATTACAGTTTGGCAACAGTGGTAGGCAGAAATGTGGTCCCCCGAGGATGTCCATATCTTAATCCCTAAAATCATTCAGTTTGTAACCTTTAAGATAGACTTTTTTACTCAATCTCATTTCTTGGGAATCCATCCAAATTGTACATCAGTAGTCTGTTCACTTTTATTGCAGAGTAGTATTTGGTGATATGTATGTAGCACAGTTTGTTTAATCACTCACCTGTTGAAGTGAGGTTGGACTGCTATGAACATTTGTGTACAGGTTTTTGTGTGAACATAAGTTTTTATTTTTCTGGAATAAATGCCTAAATGAAATTGCTGGGATATATGTAAATTGCACGTTTAGTTTTACAAGAAATTGCTAAATTGCTTTCCTCTAAATTTGTGAATTGATTTTCATGTATTTGAGAAAAGTGATCATATAGTTATTTCAATTTTCTCTATGTCTGTGACAATTTCCTGGTTTAATTCTCATTTTGTATACTTATACTTTCTCCATAAGAATAGGTAGTGGGATTTTTTGGTTATAATTTATTGTCTTTTTTGTTTTGAAGAACTAGATCGTAGATTGATTGATTTTGTTGTTATTGCATTTTCTAACTGATTAGCTGGCATTTTTTTTAAAACCAATTCCTTCCTTGTGCTTTCCTGATGTTTATTTCATTGTTTTTTCTAAGTTGAGTGCTACGTAATTTATTTTCATTGCCCGTTTTTAATAAAGAAATTATCTAAGGCTTTTGAATTTAAGGCTCTAAATTCCCCATCCTTAATTTAGCTATTACTGAGAACTGGGGCCGACCTGACCATGGGAAGTGGGTTTACTTGGCTTAGCAGTGGGGAAGGAACTGAGGGTGTCCAGAGCCTGGCAGTCTGGCAAGACCCATCATTCGTTTTTGTTGTTGTTTTAATTCAGCTTTTATTTAGATACAGGGGGTACATGTGTAGATTTGCTACATGGGTATATTGCACCCAGGTAGTGAGACTAGCACCCAACAGGTAGTTTTTCAACACATGGTCCCCTCCCTTTCTCCCCACTCAAGTAGTCTGCAGTGTCAGCTGTTCCCATGTTTATGTCCATGTGTGCTCAATGTTTAGCTCTCACTTATAAGTGAGAATATGTGATAACTGCTTTTCTCTTCCTGCATTAATTTACTTAAGCTTATGGCTTCCAGCTTCATCTGTGTTGCTGTGAAGGAGATGATTTTATTCTAGTTTTTGGCTGCATAATATTCCATGGTATATATGTATCACAGTTTCTTTATCCAGTCCACCACTGGTGGGCACCTCGATTGATTCCACATCTTTGCTATTCTGAACAGTATGGTGATGAATATATGAATGTATGTGTCTTTTTGGTATAAAGGTCTAGTTGTCCTTTGCATGTATACCCAGTAATGAGATTGCTGGATCAAATAGCTCCGTTTTAAGTTCTTTGAGAAATATCTAAACTGCTTTCTACAGTGGCTGAACCCATCCTTCTTAATAAGGTTATAGACTTTCATTTCGAAGCAGTTAGTTGGTTTTGATATTTTTCTGAAGATCTGTCTTTTCTCATTGTTTTCCACTGCGTATCAACAGTGGGCCCTTAACATCCAGTGGCAAATATGCCCTTTCCCGACTCCCCAATCTCTACAAAAACAAACAAAATCCCACGTGAATGCAATAAAACATGATTGGCTCCTACACTCTGAAACTGTGAATATTTAGTTGGACCAGTTATAGAAAGCAAAATGTTGAAAGCAAAAAGTGAAAAATCTAACTGGTGCTCAAGTCAGAGGATTTGAACGTGAGATGTCACAGGCAGGAGTCAAGATGATTCGCATACGTCCAGTGACAGGTACAGTGCTTGATACGAAGATTTTGTTTCCACAATTCCAAATCAATTTATCACACTGACTAATTTTCGAGGTGGTGCATTAAAGACAGGCATATGAAAAATCCTTGATGAGAACACACTTTTCTTTGCTTAATGGTATTGGGAGGTATAAGAAGAAGGGATGGATTATTTTAAGTACCTACTCTGTACTTTTTAAATGTTATGTATGGTATAACATGAAGTTCTTGCAGTTCTGTTGTGAAGGGGATATTTTCATCTGCACTTTATAGGCAGAGGTACATCAAGTTGAAGCAGTATGTATCAGACCTCGGGAAGTACCAGAGCAAGAATTTGAGGACTGGCCTCTCTGAATCCAGACCCCATGTTTTCACAATGCTTAAATAGGTCACTAACAAAGAGACAAATGTTTGATTACAATAGATGGTTAAGCACACAGCCATAGCCTAACAATAACAAAAGTACTTCATTGAATAACACAAAAAGCATGAGCAAAATTAAAGATGAACATAAAAACAGAAAAAGCAACTGAAACAAATATGTTTGGCCAACAATGTATATAATATCGTAATTAATTTAAATTATGTTTCTAAGTGGAAAAACAGAGGATAATGACAGACAATTTGCAGGTATTGAGAATGGATAACAACATATGGAAAACATTGTTTGACTGCATTAATCAAAGCAACGATATAAATACACAACTACTACAATTTGTTCACTTAGTAAATCAGCAAACCTTGCTGAGGTGTGTGTGATGAAATGGAGACTAAATTGATATTATCATTGTGGAAAAAATGGAAATATGTTTCAGCATCTTTGGATATATTTTTTAAAATTAACTTTTGATCCTCTAATTCTCCTAGATATCTATTTTAAATGCATATATATATATATATATATATATATATATATATATACCAAACTCCAGAAATGCTTACCCCATAAAGATGTTCTTTTCACTATTCCTGATATCAAATTAGGTGACATGGCGTCACATATGGCCAAATTATCTGTCAATAAAAGTCTGTAATGTGTGCAGATTTCTAGATCTCTGATGCTCTCTTTACTTTCTAAAAAATTATTATTTCTTCTACCCCTTCACCTTTGATTGGTCTCTTTGTCTTAATATCTGGACTTTAAATAGTTGCTATTAAACCTCTAAAATCAATCAGCCCCTGGCTGTTCTGTCATTAGAAGTTAACTGCCTTCCCATTAATCCATTAATTGTGAAGATTAATTGGAAAAGCTATTCAAACTCAGGCTATAACTTGGAGCATGTAAGCCAGTGTTTGCCTCCAAATGAAAGCTTAGGTCAATAACATCACAGAGAATTAACAGTTATATATAAATTCTACTCATGTCTCCTATAAGAGAAAATGCATAGAAATTTATAGGCTGCTGTCTAAATGAATTACTTGACAATTAGAAAATTATCCCTGTCTTAGTAGTTTAGCTCTAGGAAAACATACTGATAGTTACTTGTTTTAAATTGCAGGAACATTTTTTTTTTAGATTTAAGCCAATGACTGACAGAATTAGAAGCTCATGTTTGTGTTATTTCAAATATCTAAAACCAGGATTCTCAAGTAAATGTTAATTTTCATGTCAATGTCAAATTAATACTTAAAGAAGCTAAAGAACTGCATAGTAGTCTACACTCGTGGCATTTAATCGAGTTGAAATATCATTTTAGGTAATGATGAGAGGATGAGAGACGATGCCAGGATTGGCTCATATTTCATCACCTATGCTTAGAAAAATTATATTTTATTCAATCCTAGGTGTATTGTCAGTTTTCCCTAAACTTATTCTCTTTCTCATCAGAATGTGACAGTGCAGCAGCTTCCTCCACACACCGTCAGGCACCATGGCTACTACATAGGGAGAGAGGGGTGGGGTGTCACACCACAAAAGTTCCTTCAGTCCTTCGGGCTGTGTTCCTTCACAGTCCCGTGAAACAGTATGGAAAGCATAAGGACATTATGAAAGGAACAATGCTCATCACTGGACAGAAATTAATTTGCAGCTCTATTTTAGTGGTTTCCAGACTAGCATGGTTCTGGCTGTGGGACACAATCATGGGAAATTTGACATCTCCCCGAGGTGATGCTACCAGGCAGTTAGGATGAATCACTGAAGATGCACACTACAGAGATGCGACAACCCTGCAACCTGGAGCTAAGCCATAGAATTTTATTTTTATTTTTAATTTTATTTTAGAGATGGGGTCTTGCTCTGTTGTCCAGGCTGGTGTGCAGTGGTGCGATCATAGCTCAGGGCAGCCTCGAACTCCTGGGCTCAAGAGACCCTCCTGCCTCAGCCGTCTGAGTAGCTAGGATTCCAGGCTAATTTTTTTTTTTTTTTAAAGAGATGGGGCTTGACATCTTGCTTAGGCTGATCTTGAACTCCTGGCCTCAAGAGATCTTCCCACCTTGGCCTTGAAAGTGCTGGGATTACAAGCATGAGCGAGCACACCTGGCCTATAATACTTTTTACCAGGTGGCTGATGCTGCTTTTTAAACATACTTGTGTCTTCTGGGTGCTTAAAATGGACTTTGGTGGCTCTTTTTTGGTGTTGAGTGTAGACTGTACAGCTGCAGCTGTGAGGATGAGATGGCAGAGCTGGGGGAAAGCTCCAGGGTATGGAGATAAATGATGCCCACCCAAAGGAAATCAAGCAGAGGCTGTTTATTTAGAGTTTGCTGCAGCAAGGTGGTTGGCCACCACCATTTGAGTTTGGCAGAGACTCAAAGGCAGGCAGAGGAGAGGAAACTTTACACTGGAGTAAAGGGGCAGGCTCAGGTATGCCCTGGTTGGAGGCCTTGGCTAGGGGAGGCTGTAGGCAGGCTGACCAGAAGTGGGGCATCCTATGGGATTAGTTAGAGGTATACATTTGGCTTTCTCTATACTTAGTAAAATTTCTAAATATTTCCTAAACATATTCAGCTGGTTCTAAATTGGAAACATGGGCAAAAATGAGGGAAGCTGTAAGTTATTAAGTCCTGGCTATTTGGGGCTGATAGGATTTGGCTGTGTCCCCATTCAAATCTCAACTTGAATTGTATCTCCCAGAATTCCCACGTGTTGTGACAGGGACCCAGGTGGAGGTAATTGAATTGGGGTTTGGGCGGAGGGGGTGGTCCGGGCTTTCCCGTGCTATTCTCGTGATAGTGAGTAAGTGTCATGAGATCTGATGGGTTGCTCAGGGGTTTCCGCTTTTGCTGCTTCCTCATTTTCTCTTGCAGCCGCCATGATTCTGAGGCCTTCCCAGCTATGTGGAACTGTGAGTCCGGTTAAGTCTCTTTTTCTTCCCCGTCTCGGGTATGTCTTTATCAGCAGCATGGAAACGGACTAAAACAGGGGCCAGTTGCTACAGGAGTTATTATTTGGCTTCTTGCACTGGTTGCTTCAGACAGAAGTCTGGCTTCCTGGACTGGCTCCTGTAGATAGTAGTTTGGCTTCCTGGGCTAGTTGCTACAGGTTCTGTTTTTTGCATGCAGACTGGCCATTTGCCATTTGTGTATTCAGTCTCTCGTTGGGCAGGAAACAGAGGTACATCAGGTACTGGGTTGTGTGTCATGGTAGGGCGAGGAGACAAGACGCCACCTGGGATCCTGAAATGAACCTGAAATTTGTAGCAGTAGCCCAGACTGGGTTTATGGTTACAGTACAATGTCATTGTCAAAATTTCTGAATGAAATCTTGACTAACAAGTAATATTTTTTGATATATGCAAACATAATTCCATACTTTCTTAAATATGTTGATGATTTCTAATTTTAACTGGATGGAAATTGTAATATAGATTGGAATAAAATGTTTTGTTCAGGAAAATAGATGTCTTGAAGGGAAGGCCATTCCTTAATCCTGTATCTGTCAATGGACTATTTGGAATAGGTCTAAATAAACTATTTTCTGATGGGAACGAGACTCCAATCTTTCCAAAGCTTCCTGTCAAAGGTCTCACCCTGCCTCTGGTGTATGAGGATTTTTGATGATTTAAACTATGTTTGCTACCTATTCTATTTATTCTAGTCTGTTCTGTAATGGATATTTTTATGGGACATACGATTCATTAGCAGGCATGCAACTAATTTTGGCATGTCTTCCAAATAACTGAGAAGATGACTACTCAGTGGCAACTAAGCTGAATACTGCTGAAAATCAGCCCTATTTTTTTTTTTTGAAAAGTATATTTTAGGTCACCAGTGCTTGTTTCAACAAAGTACTGGTTCAGAATAGAAGATCTGGCACCAGATTGCCTGAATTTAAATACACTTTCTACCACCTATTAGTCATGGGTCCTTAGGTAAATTGTTTAATTTTCCTAATTTAATTATTTAATTCTTGTGCTCTTTTTTCCTCAAGTGTCCCTAGAGTTAATAATATCAAATATATTGGGTGTTTATCAGGATCAGTTGAGTTAATGCATGTAAAGCACTGAGAACGTAGCACCTAATAATATATACCTATTATCTTAGTACAGGTAATATTACACACAGATTAAGAAAATTGAATTACTTTTATTAAAAACTGAACAGCTTTTATTTGCTTATGAGAATTATGCATTAAAGCCATTTGTAAAATAAAATTTTCATTAATTGAGCTATATTAAAATATTTTCAGTATACCTTGCATCAATTAAGATGCAAGCTATAGTGAAGGAGGCTATTGAGTTTTTTTGTATATACAATCTGCCAGAGATCTAATTTACCATTTACTTTTTAATGACAATGGTAAGTTTTTCTGTCATGTAAAGAGTAAATGGTGACTTTTCTGAGATATTGAACGGAAAGCCATAGATTTGTATGTATATGGTGTATCTATATGAAAATGACTCAGCATATTTTTTTCTAATGTGGATATTTAACAGAATTCATTAAAACATATTGTAGATGTAACTAGTATATATACATTTTTTAATGAAAAGACTAAAGCTATCGTTTTACTACTTCCAACTGATATCAAGGTCTATGTGGAAATTCTAATATGACTGAGAAAAGTCAAATAAAATGTAATACAATGTTGGATAAGCATGGAGTAATGAGAGTGATGTTCATTTCTTCTCTAATTGAAAGAAACAATGATGAACTCAACATACCCAGCTGCATTTTTAATTGTACAGACGTCCATGAAATGTTTGGTTACTCGATTACTAAATTTCACTAGTGAATGCAGACGTCCATGGTCTCCTGTGCCCTTTTTTACCAAGAATCTTGTCTGTGGCTCAGCAGTAAAGGGACCAGGATGATGTGCCAATCTGATATAGCACTTAATTTTTTAAAAATGCAATTATGTTTTAGGCTGAAATAGCTAAAATGTTATTTCCAATTTGAAAAGCCCCCTACTTAAATGCCTGTATACTCACGTGCAGTGAATAATCTTTATTTGCATCTGAAAATTAGCTGTAAATTAGAGCTAATAATCATTGAAAGTTCTAGCTGTGAGATTACTCCAGGAGAAGACTAGTTTTCTGAGTTGCTTTACCAGATTCTAGAATATTGTTTCTCAACCTTGGCACTATTGACATTTGAGACCAGACCATTCTTTGTGGTGGAAGGCTACCCTGTGTTTTGTCAAATGTTTAACAGCACCCCTGGATTCAACCCAGTAGATGCCAGAAGTATCCTCTCTTAGTTGTGATGACAAAAGTGTCTTCAGATATTGCTGATATTTCTTGGAAGTGGGGAGCAGTAGGGTGAAATTACCTCTGGTTGAGAACCTCTGAATTGGAATGTGGTCCTTAGCTTTGCAAGTCTAGATCCTGTGTTTTATTGGTGCAGTCAGAGAAAACTGGTTTTCTGGAATTAAACTCAGGAGACTCATGCTTAATCCACAATTCCAAATTTAATTTATATGTAGAGAAAAATATCATGTTTACTCCACACTGATTATTACTGTTTGAGGTTCTCTTCCTCTCTTGTCAAGACTGTTGAAGATCAAATGGGAAATAAAAAAATAGCATGGCAAACCTGGAACTGGAGTACACACTCCTTGAGAGAATTTGTTCATGCTATTATGGTGTCTGATGGAACTCCTACACTTCAAACCTAAAGAAATAATAATTATAGTCATGGTATTCTTACATAGTGGATTCTGGACCGCAACTCACGTTATAGATACGGTTCTATCACAATGAGAAGAGCAAATTAATCGAACTGTGTTCAATGATCTCATCTGCAAGAGAGTAACATTAATATATCAACAAGGAGGGGTAAAGATTAGTTACTATGTGTGGCAGGATTATAACTTCCTAGCACAGAGTGCTCTCTAAATGTGTCTTAGTTATTATTAGTTCTGTAAGAATAACTACAATATATCATTGTAAAATAAACATACAACAGATTGTAGGGGCAGGTGTATGCCCATGGTAAAGAATAATAATGCCATGTAACCACCAAGGCCAACAACCAAAACTTGACCAAATATCACAAGCCTCCTGTGTGCCCTTCTGTTTTCCATATTACATGTCTTTCTCCCCACGAATGTAAAAAGTTCCCCTTCTTTTGTTTTAATTCCACTCTTTTAAAGCTAGAGGTAGAACAATATTGATTCTTAATTTATAGTTGGCAAAAACAAATGAACAATAAATATATGTTCCCTAGAGTGGTTGTACCAGAGAGGCATTACATCCAAAACATCGATCTGAATCTACATAATTGATTTTGTATTGCAATTAAACACCCTTTTCACCACACTTACACCTGCATGCTGAAAATGATTTTAAAAATTCCTAGTTCTAGTAAACACACACCCACATGTGCGCCCTCCTTCCATATACATAATGCACTCTCTTGTGTGTGTAAACATACATGCCACAGTTTCCAGAGCATACTAAAACATTTTTGTTGTTGCCTGTAATTGGCAATAATCAGAATTTCCTTCACCACTCCATGGGTTGTATATCTTTTTATGTCTGTATTCCTTATTCTTGAATTACAACTGGATTGGCTGGCTTTAGTACTTAAGCTAGTCAGTAGACATGCAGGAACTGTCTGTCATAATGGTGAAAGAATTTAAGGTAAGAATAAGAAAAAGTAGACTTTGAATGAAAACGAGACAATCTTGAAAAGTAAAATGCTACCTCAGGTAAGCTCTTGGGAAAGGCATTCAAGAACAAATTAGGTTCATGTATAATAAACTTAATAAAATTTCAGGTGAATCTAGATAATTCTTAGATTTATTTAAATAATTGCTTACCATTAATGAAAACATTTGGGACAATAACCCTGTATAATTTTAAATTATAGAATGTATATGTTAAAAACTAAATAGAGAAATATTTTTCTGATTAATGCAAAAATGGGAACAACTTAAGAGTATAAAATAAAAGGCAAATGCTTTAAAGATGACATCGAATGAAGAATTGGCTGAATAAATTAAACATGTATGGATTTCATGATACACATGAGATTATACTTTCCCTCGCTCTTTGTGCTTTATCTTTTAATATTAGAAGCAATATATGTGATACACATAAAAGGGTAGATAGACGATAAATATGTATATGCATTAATATGTATGTATACACATTGATACATATGTAAATGTATGTGCATGTGTAATATATTTTATATGAAACATCATAATTATAAGCCTTTGACTATGCCACTATTACCACAAAGGGATCCCAATCCAGAGCCCAAGAAAGGGTTCTTGAATCTTGCGAAAGAAAGCTTTCAGAGCGAGTCCGCAGTGCAAAGCAAAAGCAAGTTTATTAAGAAAGTAAAGTGGTGAAAGTTCAGTGACTCGATAGACAGAGTAGGGCATTCACGAAAGTAGGAGGAATAATGCGGTCACCCTTGGTACAAATACTTGTGTGTATATGTGTATACACACATATGTATAGGATTAGAAAAGATCATGGGGAGATGAGCTCTGCTACAAGGGTTTGTGATAAAGGATTAATTTTCTTAACTACTACATTTTGCAAGAATCAATGAATATCTTTAAAGCAAAATTAGGGATGCTTTTGTTCTCAAATTATTGGGACATCAGGACACGCCCAAGTCTGGGTCTGTTAAGTAAACGTTATCAATCGGTTCCCTTAACCATAAGCATCTGGAGGCTAGGAATACCTCACTTTCTGGGAATGCAGCCCAGCAAGTCTCAGCCTCATTTTCCTAGCCCTCACTCAAGATGGTGTCACTCTGGTTCTAACACCTCTGAGACCACCTATCCCCAAATTAGAGCATTCCATCACATTAAAACTGTATACATGTGTGTTGATTCTGCTTTTTTCTCAAGGTAACCAAGATCCTGAATTTTATAATTTTCATTTTTTTTTGTAAAAGTAGTTTTTTAAACTCATATATGTCCCTAAACAACATACAGTATTACTTAGCTTTGCTTTTTAAGATTCTCAAAACGATCAACATATTACATATTATTTTATAACTTGATTTTGTTTTCCTCAAAAATGTCGCTTCTAAGATTCAACTATTTTGTTTTGTGTTGTTGTTGTTTCTTTTACTGGCGTGTATTATACTGTTGTGAAAAGCACTGTTTTATTTGTTCTTTGGCCATTGGGTATCTGGTCGTTAATTTTTTGTTTGTTTGTTTGCTATTATGAGCAACGTTGCTAGAAATCATACATGTCTCCTGGTGCACAAATGCAAGCTCCTCTGAGTACATTTTTATTTCCATAGGACACAAAATTACTAATATTTATATATCACCTTTGGGTAAAAAGACAAAACTCCTTGAGGCTGGGGGTTCATCATAGGAGGACCTACGTATATCAAAGGGACTGGTGGAACATAGGGTATGGGAAAGTTCAAATATACGTCTAATGACAAGTTGTTTTTATAAAAGTAGTTGCTCAAGTTTATACTCCCACGAGCAATGTGTCAGAGTTTCTCTTGGCCTACATTTTGCTAGTCTAATGTCCATAAACTAGTATCCTTTTGTAGTCCCAGTTTACATCTCTTTTTGCTGATATATTTGAGGATCAATTTATATAGGATCTGTGCTGTGAAGTCTGTTTTTTGAGACAGCGTCTTACTCCGTCACCCAGGCTGGAGTGCAGTGGTGTGATCTCGGCTCACTGCAACCTCTGCCTCTCAGGTTAAAGCGATTCTCCTGCCTCAGCCTCCCTAGCAGCTGAGACTACAGGCGTGTGCCACCACACCCTGCTAATTTTTTTATTTCTGGTAGAGATGGGGTTTCACCATGTTGGCTAGGCTTGTCTTGAACTCCTGACATCCAGTAATGCACCTGCCTCAGCCTCCCAAAGTGCTGGGACCACAGGTGTGAGCCACCACGCCAGGCTGTGCTGTGAAGTCTGATCGTGCCTTGTGTTATTTTTGTTAATGTGTGTCATGATTTAAAGGTGGTTTTTGTTTTACTTTATTTTGTGTTTTATTTTCCTTTATTTGGAATACTAATTGTATACTGGGTTATAGGTTTTGCAAGTACTTTCTCCATTTTGTGATTTTTCTTTTTAATTTCTTTACAGTGTCTTTTGGAAACCTTAAGTATTTAATTTTCATACAGTTAAATTTGTGAATCTTTTATAATGAGGTATAATCTTTTCTACCTTAAGATATTGTTTTATTATATAATTTTATGATTTTTAAAGTATTTTCATATTCTCCTGTCTTTAAGTTTTTTCTTTTCTCATTGAACTTACTAGACTTCTAGTAAGCCCTGGAAGTAGTAGGCATATTTTTAGAGATCTTAGATCCTAGTTTTTGATGTTGTTGTTTTACTTGTTGGTTGTTTTGTCTATTGATTCCACGAAAGCCTCAGCACTAACTAACCCTAACGTGGCATTGTTCCTCCTGGCAGATGACTGTGATGATCCTCTTGTGTCTGCCTTGCCTCAGGCATCCTTCAGCAGTTCTTCCGAGCTCTCCAGCAGTCATGGTCCTGGATTTGCAAGGCTGAATAGAAGAGATGGTAAGTCTGCTTTTCTCCTCTGACTGGCCCATAGAAAATCTCACTAGTTTTTCATTATCTTTGCATACAGTCATTATGAATGATACATGGTAAAAGAAAGTAAATTTCGAAATAAGCAAATGGTTAAAACTCATGAGATGTATATGACATCTAGCTTCTGTTCTGGAATGTGAAAGGGATACATCCTATATTACGAAGAATTGAGTTCCTTCCATCTGACAAGCTTTTTATATATCTTACTAAATATTTTCTACAATAATATACAATCCTTATGGACACATTAGTGATGAAACCTTAATTGGCCTTCAGTTTCAAGTTAAAGAAGTAATTTTCAAAAACGCTAATTATTTAAAAATAACAATCCCTCAGTGTTTTGGATTCTCAATGTGGTTGACATGATTTTCTTATCAGCTGAAGAATAGGAACATAATAAGATTTTCATGGTCCTTTAGGAGTACTCAGCCAGGTGTGGTGGTTCATGCCTATAATGCCAACACTTTAGGAGGCTGAGGTGGGAAGATCACTTGAAGTGAGGAGTTCAAGACCAGCCTGGGCAACACAGCAAGACCTTGTCTCTACAAAATAATAAAAATAAATTCACCTGTGATGCATGCCTGTAGTCCCAGCTATGGCTGAAGCAGGAGTATCACTGAACTCAGAAGTTGGAGACAGTGAGCTATGATTGTGCCACTGAACTAGAGCCTGGGCGACAAAGTGAGACCCTGTCTCAAAAAAAAAAAACAAAAAAAAAAACCAAAAAAAAAAAAACCCAAAAAACCCCCCAAAAAAAAAAACTCAGTTCATCTTAGTTTGTGTTTGATCACTTGAATATGTTAAAAGGAAACTGAAGATAATTAAATGGCACCTTGCTGTAGAAATAAGACAGAATTTCAAAAACACTGTGTACTTAGAGACAGAGTGTCACTGTGATCTCTTTTCATAACATACTAAGGTAAAATTCATCTGCACATGCATTGGAGGAAAACACGCTTGGCAATACTAATACATAAAACGTTTTAACAATCATAAAAAGT
The DNA here is from genome assembly GCF_000001405.40 of Homo sapiens. Taxonomy (NCBI): domain Eukaryota; kingdom Metazoa; phylum Chordata; class Mammalia; order Primates; family Hominidae; genus Homo; species Homo sapiens. The sequence continues at coordinate 76,317,558 of NC_000016.10, forward strand.
TTTAATGCATGATGTTTTTGGTTCTCCCATTTATTATCCTCCTCTCGTGGCAACATCAGTCAGTCACTTCTAATTTTACTCTTTGATGTTATCCTTAATATGTGCTTAATGCTTGAGCACACTGAACATTGGACATGACAAATAGGTAAGAGTGTGTGTGTGTGTGTGTATGTGTGTGTGTATTTTGCCATCTGGTATACATAATATATATCACACATAGTTCTAATTACAATATAGATATAACACTTTAACATGATTTTAAGCTTAAGTTTATTTTAAAATTTCATTTCATATTATTGGAGATACCTACTTTTGTGTGCTTCTGAATGTGAAGGTATCAGTGGAGAGTGAGAACTGAGATCCTTCTGTCAAATGGGAAACTGGGGGGTGTTTGAATATATTTGTGTAGATAATGCTAGCGTTTTCTTTTTGAGTGACTTGCAGTAAGAGTTACTGGTCACATGGGACTGTCTCTTCCTCTTTGCAATTCTGAGTCCCTGACCCATCAGGGGACTTTCCTAGCCTCTCTGATGGCCATTCCAGGCCCTGTACCTATGGACCCACCAGCAGGAATGCTGTTATTGCAATGCTAATCCTAGAATAAGGTCTCCATTCTGTGCTTCTTTATAGAGAAAAACAGAGTTTGACATTTACCACCACTTCATTTGAGTCATAAAAGCTTTCACAGAATGTGGGCCAGTGAAAGGAACACAACATTTTAATCTACCTATTTATCTTGATTTCCTTTGTTGAGGTTCAATACATCACAAAATATATGTTATTAATTAGATCAAATCATATTTTTCATTAATTTATATACTCATCAGGAGTCTCCATCAGTGGGACTCATTTTCATTCTTAATTCATTTCTATGGCTCTTGGTAAAACACAATATCAAACTTCATGAATCTCATTTACATGTTAATGAAACCGAGACACAAAACAGGATCATTTTAATTATCTTTTGCTGGTTGTAAACCTACTTGATTACATTTTTCTTTTTGATTTAGGTTTTCTTTTTTTCCCCTGTTAATTACATGAAGTTTTCACAAAGGAACATCAGATTTTCAGTGATTTATTAAAGGCTATATTTTATTTCTAGTATTGAAATACTAGAAATTTCTCATAATATTTCTCATAATGATTTATTTATTAGAGAGAATAAATTAATTATTTTTATTAATAATAATCATAATAATATTCATAATAATAATCATAATCATAATAATTAATAATTATGAGAAATTATTCTCATAATTTCTCATAACATTTCTCATAATATTTCAGTCAGGCTAGGAAAAAGTGTTCAGCCAAGTCTGCAGTCATATGTAAATAAATTAAACCAGCAAATAAAGGTCCTAGTATCTTAGATACACAGAATGACTTCTTTCCTACAGAATTATGAAAACTTAGAGCCAAAGAATAGAGCAAAAAAATGAGAAAGTTACCCACTTATTTTCCATCTGTGGGATAAGAAGTGTCAAGGGTAATACTGTGAAAATGAGTAGGGCCCTAGTAATGAGGGAAGGGGATCAAAAAAAGGCTACCATTGCTACTAAAAGTGGCTCACACCTGTAATCCTAGCACTTTGAAAGTCTGAGGCAGGAGGATTACTTGAGCTCAGGAGTTTGAGATCAGCCTGGGCAACATGGCAAAACTCTGTCTCTACTACAGATACAAAAAAGTTAGCCAGGCATGGTGGTGTACACCCGCGGTCCTAGCTATCCAGGAGGCTGAGGCATGAGAATCGTTTGAACCCAGGGGGTGCAGGTAACGTGAGCCAAGATTGTGCTGTTGCACTCCAGGGTGACAGAGTGAGACTCTGTCTCAAAAGAGAGAGAGGGAGGGGAGGAGAGGGGAGGATTACCATTAAACATACTTTCCATTCGAAGTATGCTAATTTAATTTTGCCACGTATGTGCTGTTTTGGGTTGAATTGTGTCCTCCTAAAAGATTGAAATCCTAACCCAAATACCGATGAAGGTGACCTTATTTGGACATAGGGTCTTATCAGATATCATCAAGTTAAGATGAGGCCATACTGGATTAAGGGGTGGGGGGCTAAATCCAATGACTGGTGTCCTTATAAGGAGTGTGAGATTTGGAGACATACAGAGACAGGAAAGACAGAGTAGACCAGATGAAGATGGAAGCAGAGATTGGAGTGATACAGCTGCAAACCAAGAAATGCGAAGGATTGCCAGCAACCATCAGAAGTTAGAAAGAAAGAAAGAGGGGTTCTTCTCTAAGCCCACAGAGGGAGTATGGCCCTGCCTGTGGACATCTTGATTTCAGACTGCTAGTTTCCAGAACTGTGAGAGAATAAACTTGCATTCTTTTAAGATGCCCTGTTTGTAGTACTTTGCTACTGCAGCCCTTGAAAACAAATACAGATTTTGGTACTAGAAGTTTAGTGCCACTGGAATAAATACCTTAAAATATGGAAGTGGCTTTGGAATTGAGTAATGAGCAAAGGTTGGAAGAATTTTGAGGCACTTGATAGAAAAAACTCAGATTGCCTTGAAAAGACCGTTGGTGTAAATACAAAGGTTTAAAGTGTATCTGGCAAGGGTTCAGAAAGAAAAGAGGGTCATGTTATTGGACATAGGAGGGAAAGCAATCCTTGTTAAAAAGTGGTAGAAAATTTGGTCGAATTGTGTTCTAATGCTGGGTAAAGATTAGATCTTGTAAACAATGAACTTAGATAATTACCTGAGGAGCTTTCCAAGCAAAATAGAAAAGGTATACCTTTGTTTCTCCTTGAAGCTTATAGCAAAATGTGTGAGGGAAGAAATACATTGAGAAAGAAACTGATAAGCAAAAAAGGCAATCAGACTTGATGGTTTGGAACATTCTTGGCCTATTCATATTGCAGAAGATGGGAAATTTTGCATGCTCTGAAGAGAACATTAAGGATGGGTAGGACAGATTTTGCTAAAGAGATTAGTTATGTGACTCTTGAATCCAATCAACCATCCAACAGGAATCCAGGAATAGAGAGAAGGTTATCTAGAAAAGATAGCTGCATAGTATTGTCATTGTTGGAGTTTCAGTATAGCTTAAATTTTAATGGGCAATTTAAAGTTAAGTGTACATTGACTCTTAGTGTTGTCAATGTAGAGTTCAAACAGGTTCTAGTGTCCCATTTGGTTGTCTAAATGTGTCCTTAGTACATTTAGAATCCAGAATATGGAGAAACCACATCTTTTATAGTGTTATAATCTGAACGTAAGTCTTTATTTTAATGTACTTGGACAACCTTGGAAATGAGTGATTGCAAATTGATAAATTTGTGTACAGGAAAAATAATACAATAGTAAATAAAATGATTGTCCAAAGCAAAAATAATATATTTACAAGTGTGAGTAGAAAAATACATATGTACACCTCTTTAAGTATATAAAAGATGGTTTCCATAGCTGACAAATACTGTGAGTTTCCACTCACATCTTCTGTAAGATAAGAATGTTTTCTGATGTTAAAAAATTGGATATTTGTCTATCATAATATTTCCTGATGTTAAAAATTGGATATTTGTCTATATTTTTCCATTTTCTATTTTTTAAACCACAACTACACCCTTCTATTCTAAATGGTTGTTAAGCAATGTTTTCCCAATACCTATAGAATTTGATATTAAAATCAAGCACTTATCTGTAGAGGAATTAGCTTACTTGGTTAATTGACAGAGATAACTCCCATTCTTGGATGGATCTCTATAAGAATAATTATAGCAATCTATATAGCGTTGTTTGGCAATTTTGACTGCCCTAAATTGTTATGCTTCTTTGCAAACAACTATTATGCTTCATTAAATCTTCCAAGATATGCATGTTGCATGTCAGTGCTTAAGAGGATAGATCCCTAAAGATAAAAAAAAAGTAGGTGCTTTTTTATGAGTTGGATATTTCCTGGTGTTAAACGTATTATATTTTTTAAAAACCTCTATAGGCCGGGTGCAGTGGCTCATGCTTGTAATCCCAGCACTTTGGGAGGCCAAAGCGGGTGGATCACGAGGTCAGGAGATCGAGACCATCCTGGCTAACATGGTGAAACCCCATCTCTACTAAAAATACAAAAAATTAGCCGGGCGTGGTGGCGGGTCCCTGTAACCCCAGCTACTCAGGAGGCTGGGGCAGGAGAATGGCATGAACCCGGGAGGTGGAGGTTGTAGTGAGCTGAGATCACACCACTGCACTCCAGCCTGGTGACAGAGCGTGACTCAGTCTCAAAAAAAAAAAAAAAAAAAACTTTATAATAATTAAATTTTTAAAATGATAGTATTAATATATTTAATAACCAATACTTTCTGTATGAAAAAAGAGTAAGATATAACTTTTGTACAGGATTGAAAAATCTCAAGCCTAGAGAAAGGGGAACCTGGCTGGCACAACTGGTATGAGTCTGAAATTTGCCTGAGAGGTCCCATGACCAGGCTGGGGCAGGTGAACTTCACTGACTGAGTTTGTTGCACTGGAGATGCCCTGTACTTGTGGAGTTTGTTGGAAAACAGAACATGCCAGCAATTTATTTGCTTCTAGACCAACTCATGATATCCAGAATCCGATGTGCTGAGAGTATGCCTTTGGCAACTGAAGAATTACGTGAATTGCAAGAGTCCCCTGCCTTCCTGCTGATTCAGGCTGTGGCATGTGATTTGTTAGCACTGCCTGATATTTCTGTCTTGAGCCCTAATTTTTTCTGGGTTTGGGCCTTGTCTTAAATCCATAGGTGTACAGCTCTTGATATTGAGATGGGGGTGCTAATATGGCTGAAACTCTGAATACTCATCCCTAACAGTCACAGAACTTGAGCCTCCCAGACACACTTGAACTTCAGCTCTTCCACTCTCCTTCTTCTCTTTCGTATTCTTTCCTGCAGATCATAAAAGTTTAGTTGAAGAGCGACTTCTTTGGTGTTAGACATATCTGGAATTAATTCACTATTCTTGGGTCTTAATCACTACTACATTTTACTCCCTTAAGGATTGGCAAGATATTTCACCACCAAACTTTAATTTCCTACGGGAAGAGCAGGGATAACAGTGAGATGGTATTGTCCTTCTGAAAATGATTGTGGCACTGTGATGGGGCCACATAAATTACAAAAACACAGTGCTGTACACATTTTAACCAGTTTCAAAGTGTGTCCTGCCAGTTAACCCCATTTTAGCAAACTAAATATATATACTCATTTATATAAAGGTAATCTCAGAGAATTCTGACCTCCACAGAACTGTGCTGGAAAGAGTCAATTTATTCCTTTTTATTTTATTTTTTATTTTTTGTTTTTTTTTTGAGACAGTCTTACTTTGTCACCTACGCTACAGTGCAGTGGCACAATCCCAGCTCACTGCAACCTCTGCCTTGTGGGTTCAAGCGAGTCTCGTGCCTTGGTCTGCTGAGTATCTGGGTGTACAGGCACGCACCACCACACCCACCTAATTTTTTTTGTTGTTGTTGTATTATTAGTAGAGATGGGGTTTCACCATGTTGGCAAGGCTGATTTCGAACTCCTGACCTCACGTGATCTGCCTGCCTCGGCCTCCCTAAGTGCTGAGGTTACACGCCTGAGCCACTGTATCTGGCAATATTCCTGATTAATTACAAAGCAAAACAGAGTCAAATAATTAGTTTTTTAATGTTTGTTATTAGATTGAAGTAAAGCTAAAACAGTCTGATATATCCTTAGTCAAAATCTGTGAATTAGGGTGATAGGATGGTTTTATTTAATATTTTTACCTTTTTTTTTTCCTCAGCAGTCTGGATTTAGTTTGTGAAGTTTAAAAAAAACTTACTAAAACATTAACATTTTGATAAAGGTTGGAAAATAAAGTTCCAGATTAATTTTATGATCAGTGATGTATCACTTGTTCTAATAAATTATATTTTGTATACCAGCCTTGAGAAGGTGAAATAAAAATAAGTGAAGGGTTACACATTTATTTCTAAATATGCTGATATCTTCTATTAAAGTAGTGGAGAGTTTGCTACCACTTCTGAGATTAATATAGAATCACTTCTATTTTTGTGTCGATTTATTTGATTTAACACCATAGATGACTGTCCACCTGCCTGGCTGGTTCCCTCTTGGCTTTCGATATTGCCCTCCCTCCTTGGCCCCTTCCTTAGAACATGCTGCACCTTCTCTGATCTCCCTGCCAGCGTCTTGGTGCGTTTTCCATCTTACCCTTTATCGTCCTTGTCTGCTCTATGGCCCACAGTCTTCAGCTCTAAATCAATCTGATGGTGTCATCCGTGGGAATGCGCCAAGTAGCTAATCCTAAGTAATGTGTAGTTCTGAAATCAGGGAAACTAGATTATAATACTAAATTGTGAATGGCCTTAAGGAAATGACATTACCTCTCTTTTTTTACCCCCTGGGTAGAGGATTGAATTTGAGGATCTCTAAATTCTATGACAACGTACTCTTCTTATGTGTAATATTCTACTGGCAATGTAGCTATCTTCTGTTTCTAACTCTTAGAAATCTTTAAAGCATGTGAGTAAGAGAAATTGGTAGTCCCTCAATAAGAAGGTGAGGGGAGTACCTTAAGGCAGATTATCCTTCTAAGTTTTCCTCAAACAAGATGACACAGGATGCTCCCGCCTTAGGAGATGTCTTCAGCTTTCATAAGATACAGGAATTCAAAATATAAATGTGGCCCAACTGAAATCGATACAGTGGCTCAAATTTGGTCAATTAAAATATATTCACAAAATTAAACATTATCACTAATACATAAACATTTCTTTTAGTATCCATCTGATATTTTCAGTGCTGAGTAGGAAAATTTTACATGCAGGTGCAATGAATAAACCATGAGTTAAGTAATCAAGGGTGTCTTTGGTTGGGTTCTCCTAGAAGCACACCTGGAGCAATGTCTGAGGTACAAGTGATTTATGAGGGCATAGCTGCCAGGAGAAAACAGAGCATGGGGGAAGCAGGTTAAGGAAGAAGAAACCAAATAATTTCAGAAATCTCAGGCACAGCATAATCTCTCAGGAAACTCTGAGGGATAAATTTTACCTTGGACTTTGCCTTACCTCAAGGTGACGGTAGAGTCTAGCATGGTGTCTGGCTATATGAATAATTAATTTAGAAATGTTAGCTGCCATGTCATACAACTGGCAGCAGATTTGATGTCTTGTTAGGGCCCTTTTGCTGGCTTACTGATAGCTCTCTCCTGAATTTATGCTTAAGTGACCTTTCCTGGTACTTACTCATGAAAAGAGATCTCTCTCTCTGTTTCCTCTTCTTATAAAAGCATTAATCATATCATGAGTGGCCCACCCTCGTGACAATGTAAACCTAATTACCTCCCAAAGGCCCCCTCTCCAAATGCCATCACACTGGGGATTAGGGCTTCAGCCTGTGAATTTTGTTGGGACACAAACATTCAGCCCATAGTAGTTAGCTACATTTCCAGAAACTAGTAAACTAACTACTTGACATACCTGAGAGAAACCAAGACAGCCAGCCCTCGGGGGCAAAGATCCCCCCAAAAAGGAAATATCATGTAGTGAGCCTGACATTTTCTGCACCAAATAACAGAGTTTTAAAAATATGTAAAGGAAAATGGACAGAAATAATAGAGGTAGACAGTACATACAGAAATACAAAATTGTTAATGTATATCATTCTGTAGCTTATTGAACAAGTAGGCAAAAAAATGAAAATAAAGATTTGAACAAAAAATTAAAATATGTAATGTATATTTATATACTGTGTGTAATGTATATTTATATACTCTGTGTAGTTATTTATATACTCTGTGTAGTATATCTCCAACTGCAGAATACACATTCTTATTAAGTATACTTAGAATATTTACCTAAATTTATGCTGGACCATAAATTGTTTCAATATATCTCAAAGGATTGAAATCATACAGAGTAAGTGCCCTAGCTATAGTGGAATTCAGCTAGAAATCATTAATTAGAGAATACTTGAAAAGCCAGAAAGGCGTGGAATTTAATACATTCCTCCAAAAGAAATCTCAATGGAAATGAGAAAACATTTTAACTGAATGATAAGAAAATACTGCAAATCAGAATTGTGAGATGCAGATTAGACCATAATTCATGGCCTTAATTACAAATATGACAAAAGAAAAAAGGTTAAATATGAATGATTTTTCCATGCATTCATCCCAAAAAACTACAAAAAGAACAACAAATTAAGCCAAAAATAAGCAAAAGGAAGGAAAAAACCCAAAGTGCATTAATTAATAAAATGGAAAACAAGCATGTAATACAATCAAGAAGACAAAAATGTAAGGATACTTTAAGAAACTTTCTGCTAATTTTGAGAATTTAAATGAATTGAAAAAATGTTTCAAAAACAAACCTGCAAAACTGCACTCAATAAATAAAAAAAATTAAAATATTTCTCTACCTGTAAGAGAGAAATTTATAATTAAAAATGTTTCAACAAAGAAAACTACAAGTTAATATGCCTTCAAATATGACTTCTTGCAAACATATTTAAGGAAGATATGACTGTAAACTTACACATTCTCTCCCAGAGAACAGAAAAAAAGTCAAAATACTCCCTAACTCATTCAAGGAGGCCAGCATAACCTTGATACCAAACAGTGTCAAGGACAAACAAGAAAGGAAAATTAAAAGCCACTCTGTTGCATGAATATAAATGCAGAATGCTCTAAACAAAATACTAGCGTACATGTGTGAAGGGCCCCAGACTCTGCCTCAGAATGAGAATGCCTCCCCTCAGCTGGAATGTACATGTGCTCTGAAAGTGTGGTGGGTGGCACAACCACAGAAATATCAAAAGCCAGGACTCCTAGCTTTCTTGCCTGATGCCAGTTCATGTGTGTCCTGAGCATCTTGCCCAGCAGGGGATGGACGGATCTTGCTAAGAGATGGGAAAAGCTAGCAAAAGGATTATAAATTATGCTGCTATAAAGACACATGCACATGTATGTTTATTGCGGCACTATTCACAATAGCAAAGACTTGGAACCAATCCAAATGTCCAACAATGATAGACTGGATTAAGAAAATGTGGCACATATACACCATGGAATACTATGCAGCCATAAAAAATGATGAGTTCATGTCCTTTGTAGGGACATGGATAAAGCTGGAAACCATCATTCTCAGCAAACTATCACAAGGACAAAAAAACCAAACACTGCATGTTCTCACTCATAGGTGGGAATTGAACAATGAGAACACTTGGACACAGGAAGGGGAACATCACACACCGGGGCCTGTTGTGGGGTGGGGGTGGGGGAGAGGGAAAGCATTAGGAGATATACCTAATGCTAAATGACGAGTTAATGTGTGCAGCACACCAACATGGCACATGTATACATATGTAACAAACCTGCACGTTGTGCACATGTACCCTAAAACTTAAAGTAAGAATAAAATTTAAAAAATACAAAAAAAAAAGAAAACCAAAAAAGCTCATTCACCCATATGAGAGATGGTTAAAATTAAGATGTGTCATGTGGATTGGACATGTCTTCTTTTCCAACATTTATCTTAAAATCAGAGGTACATGTGCAGGTTTGTTACAAAGGTATATTGCATAATGCTCAGGTTTTGGGTATGACTGAATTCGTCACCCAGGTAGTGAGCATAGTATCCGTAGGTAGGTTTCAACCCCTGCCCCATCACTGCCTCTCCTGTCTTGTATTCCTCAGTGTCTTTTGTTCCCAACTTTAGGTCCATACGCTCCCAATATTTTAGCTCCCACTTACAAGATAACATGTGGTATTAGGTTTTCTATTTCTGTATAAATTCTTTTAGGATAACGGTTTCTAGCTGTATCCATGTTGCTGCAAAGGAAATGGTTTTGTTGTTTTTTTATGGCTATGTAGTATTCCATGGTGTGTATATACGACATTTTCTTTATTCAGTCCATCATTGATGGGTACCTGGGTTGATACCATGTCTTTGCTGTTGTGACCAGCTCTGTGATATGGACAATTTTTGTATGACACTTACATCCTCTAAACCCTGTCTCTCTCTCAGCCAGAATTGCAGTGACCAAATCCAGCTTTCCACAGGTGTGATAGGGTCTCATCTAGGGCTGTATCATTTCCCTGTAGCTTCTTGCCCTATGGCTCCTCTGATATTGATGGATGGCCTTCCCCTGGGAGTCCACTGGACTCATTCTAGTAGTGAGGGATGAGGAGGAGTGCCTGCCTGTGAGGCTAAACGTGCCAAAGAGGATGAGAGCTGATGGACAGAAACTTTCTGCTTTTGTTCTCAGAATGGAAATTCTGAGATGCATCTGATAAGGCTGCTCAGAAGTGTGTGTGGCATTGGATACCAGTAGCTTGTAGTTTCATCCAAGTCAATAACACATTTCCTTTGGCCTTCCGTCATTGTTTCACCCCTTCCTGCGTGCCACATCTGTCCTGTGGGGTCACTTCTTCAATGTGAGTGATCAAACTTTTGCCTCAAAGTCATGCTTCTCATCACCCAGTGAAGTGGAACGAAATGCTTCCTGATTCCTGCTCAGAAGAATTCCAAATAATTTATATAGATTTTCTCCGTTCAAGGAAGTAGATCATAATTCTCTACCTCTGAAGTGTAAGATGTGTATAACAACTTCAACACTGTACATTATTGGACTTTACAGTGGAGAAATCTGACAAACACCACCTCATCTTGGTGATCAAAGTTAATCAGTGATAAATTATATTGATAGTATGTACCCTTGATTTGATGCAGTGAAAATGGCATTTTACCTCTGTGGTCCTGCTCTCAAAAACCTCTGTGGAAAACATTAGACCTACCTGAAGTATAGAATCTTCTACACAATACCTGACCAGCCATTCTCAGAAATGTTAAGGTTGTCAAAAAACAAGGAAAGCCTGAAACGGTCATAACCAAAAGGAGTCTGAGACGTGATCACTAAATGTAACATGATTCACATGACTAAACGCAACAACATGAAATGAACATGATGTAACCTTTATGGGATCGTGGAACGCAGAAAGGACATTTAGTAAAAACTAAGGAGATCCAAATAAAGCATGGACCTTAGTTAATAATAATAATGTATCAATAGTGATGCATTAGTTGTGACAAATGTACCATATGCCTGTAAGGTGTGTTTTTTTTTTTGAGATGGAGGTTTGCTCTTGTTTCCCATGCTGGAGTGCATTAGCGCAATCTTGGCTCACTGCAACCTCCGCCTCCCAGGTTCAAGTGATTCTCCTGCCTCAGCCTCCTGAGTAGCTGGGACTACAGGCGCCTGCCACCGCACCTGGCTAATTTTGTATTTTTAGTAGAGACGGGGTTTCTCCATTTTGGTCAGGCTGGTCTCAAACTCCTGACCTCAGGTGATCCACCTGCCTCAGCCGCCCAAAGTGCTGGGCGTGAGCCACTGTGCCTGGCACCTGTAAGGTATTAATAGGACAGGGGACTGGGCAAAGGGTGTTTTGGGAACCCTCTGTAATATTCTTGCAACTTTTCTGTAACTCTAAAAGTATTTTAAAATAAAAAGTTTGTTAAAAACACATGTAAATACTTCAGCTTTGTTAGTACGAAATGCAAAATGTCAATATGAAAAGAATATTTGTGTGTGCCTGTATAATAAAACATGGTAAAAACTCATTTGAGAAGGAGGGAAAGGAATGTAAAAATGCAATGCAAAAATTAATATGGACTGAATGTCACTTAACAGTTAGTGTGATGGGTGTTTAGGCATCCATAATTATCCAAAATGTCAGGAGGCTTGTGAAATAAACATCAAAGCCTCAGTGGAGCTTGCTTTGTCTCTCTGGTTTTCCCATTTAATTAGATTCTGAGTATGATGACATTGGAAAGAGTTGTTTGCTCTGGCAGTAGTAATACTTTCTATTTGTTTATAGCTTTACTATTTATAGTTTTATAATTTAAAATCTGTTCCCGTGCACTATCTCCTTTGATTTTTAACTGTAGCCCTTCCAAAGGCTACTCTATAGATGTGGTTCCATGAGAAAAGCCATAGAAAAAATTGTGTGATTTTTATAAAGTCTTTCTTTCGATTCTCAAATAAGACATTTTATCAAAGATTTTCTTCCTCAGTGGGAATTATTAGCCTTATATATGTAATAATTTAAATAGAAAGCTAGCTTAAAACCACATTTAAGTGACGTAAGGATTATTTGTTATTTTCTGCTACTTTTTTCTTTGATCTCTTTTTAAAAAGATTGATATATAATTAATAGTAACAGTATAAAATAAAAGGGACACATAAAATAGATTATATAATTGGCTGTATAAAATATAACTGACTTTTATAATAGGCTATAAAAATATCTGACTGTATTAAAATGAAAAATAAGGTCAGAGACTGTGTGCCAGAAAGAGAACGTTTATGTGGGTTTTTCCAAAGTCTCACCATTGACCTTGACTTTGTACATGTCCTCCTTAAATGTGCCTGTCCTTCGCCAGAGCCTCGGGAGAAGTGCTGTGCAGACACTTCCCACACCTGTGCTAAAGGAAAAACACATCTCAACAATCTTCTTTCTGGAATTTTTAATTGCCTGCTTGAATTTTCCAGCTGCCTGCAAGGTGTTTTTTCTCACTTTATCAACTTAAGTTAAATACATCACCTCCAAACCAGCTGCTGCTTGTAATTATTTTTCTTTCTGGTTCCTGGTGGTTTTTTAAATCACCATAGTTTCAAATTCTTAGAATCTCCTTTTATTTCTCCCTTGATCCCTCCTTCTGAAAAAGGTGATAAATTCTGTGTATTCATGGCCTGTAATCTCTGTCTCTTAAACTCCTTTTATATTTCCATTGCTGCTACTGTAATGCAGTTCTTTGATTTCTATGCAAGGTTATTTAGGACCATAATGGGCCATGCAGTTTTGAGGCTTTCTTCAATAAATAAAATTTAAAGCATCATTGTGGCCTTGTTGTGTGCCTGCTTATGACTTTCAACCCCATCTCCATTGCCTATACTGGTGTTTATGAATGCACTTGCCAATATCCAGCTAATATTCTGCAGTGGTTGAACAGATAATTTGGTAGTTTCAAAGAAAAAGGTGTAAAAATTCACAAACATTTTACAAATTAAACTGGAAGATAATTTATGAATTGGCTACCATTCACTAACAGTATAGTTTCTCTTAGCTAGCCCGTCTTTGCTTAATTTGTGTGCTATTTCTTATACTTATTAGATTTGCTCTTTTGCTCTTAGCACTACATGACATCAATTCTATGATTAGTAAAAATACAGAAAGAGCTTACTGATGCAGAAAAGCATAAGTGAAAAACAGTAAGAAATAGAAATTCAGAAAAATGTCATAAATATAAGGAATGACTATAATTTTAGGGCAAATAAAACATATGAACCGGGATATTTGAATATTTGAATGTGGCAATTTTTAAAAGCATCTAAATAGTGCTGGATAGATCTGTAAAAATTGGACTTTATTTGATGAGTGATTATTTTACTAAAGTTTTTAAAAATTGTGGTGAAATTCACATAACATACAATTAACCATTGTAAAGTATAAAATTTGGTGGCATTTCACAATTTTGTGAAATCACTATATTCATCAGGTTCCAAAATATGTTCTAAATAGGTTTAGTTGATTTTTTTTTTTGTGGTCTACCATTTTGATTCCATTCTCATTCTTTTTTGTTGTTTTCTGTTTTTTCTTTTTCTTTTTTTTTAGACAGAGTCTCGCTCTGTTGCCCAGGCTGGAGTGCAGTGGCGCGATCTCGGCTCACTGTAAGCTCCGCCTCCCGGGTTCACACCATTGTCCTGTCTCAGCCTCCCGAGTAGCTGGGACTGCAGGCGCCCGCCACCATGCTCGGCTAATTTTTTGTATTTTTTAGTAGAGGCAGGGTTTCACAGTGTTAGCCAGGATGGTCTCGATCTCCTGACCTCGTGATCCACCTGCCTCAGCATCCCAAAGTGCTGAGATTACAGGCGTGAGCTACCACGGCCGGCCTGTTTTTTCTTTCAAGTTTTTTTTTTTTTCTTAGTGATTACTTTGGGAATTAGAAATAATCTCTCAAATTTGTAATGATCTATTTTGAATTAATATTCCTTAGCTTTAATGGTATACAAAAACCTCTACTTTTGTATCGCTTTGTCTCTCCTCTTTTGTATGATTTTCACAAATTATATCCTTATGCATTGTATGCACTAACATAGACACATAGTTATAATTATTGTTTTATGCATTTGTCTTTTAAATTATATAGGAAGAAAAGGGGAATTACAAACCTCCAATAAAATAAAACTTTCTTTTGTGTTTATGTAGTTTCCATACAGTGTTCTTTACGTGGCTTTGCATACTGTCTAGTGCCCTTTTCTTTCTGTCCAAAGGACTCCCTTTGACATTTCCTGTTGGACAGGCCTACAGGCAATAAACTCCTTCAGTTTTGCTTATTCGGGAATGTCACTTCTTCATTTAAAAAAGGTAGTTTTACTAGATTTAGAATGTTTGGCAAATAGTTTTATTTTTCTTTCAGCACTTTAAATATATCATCCCACTGCCTTTTGGCCGCCCTGGTTTCTGCCCAGAAATCTGCTGTTGAGGACCCTTTATAGGTGACATCTTCTGACTTGATGCTTTTAAGATTTTTTCTTTGTCTTTGACTTACAACGGTTTGATTGTAATGTGTCTCAGTGTAGAACTCTTTGGGTTTATCTGGCTTTGTGTTTCACCTTATTGGATGTGGTGATTCATGTCTTTTATCAAATTTGGAAAGTTTGGGGCCAATATTATTATTTTGTGAGACAGGATGTCATTCTGTTGCCCAGGCTGGAGTGCAGTGGTGCAATTATAACTCACTGCAGCCTCCACCTCTTAGGCTCAAGTGATCCTCCTGCCTTAGTCTCCTGAGTAGCTGGGACCACACAGGCACGCACCACCACGCCAGACTAATTTTTGTCTTTTTTTGTAGAGATGGGATTTTGCCATGTTGCCTAGGCTGGTCTTGAACTCTTGGGCTCAAGCAATCTGGCCACCTCAACCTCCCAAAGTGCCATTATTATTTTTTTTTATAATTCACTTTTTATACTATTTTTATTGATACATAATCAACTGACATAACATTATTTATTTAAATATTCTTTCAGCCATTCTCTCTCTCCTATCCTTCTGAGATTCCCATTATGCATACATTGATAAACTTGATGGTTTTCCATAGGTCTCTTAGATTCTGTTCATTTTTTTCTTTTTATCATATTTTTTCCTTTTTATCATATTCAGGGATCTTGGGTGATCCTAGCCAACCAGCTTTCCCAGGGATGAATTTTCCACTTCAGTTCAGTTTGGGCCAAAGGTGAGTCTTAGATACCGTCTGATGTTCAAGCAGTTTATTCTGGCAGCGCTTGTACATAATGGAAAGTGGGAGCAGGTTAGTGGTACGGGCCAGATACAGTCAAGGGGTCAGGTGACGGACTGACCAGGAAGGTCTGTGTCTGGAGACCATTCCCAGAGTTTTGGGAATTACTCCCCTTTCTTACACATGTATTCACTTTACACTCATTAACAGATGTTTCTTTCATAAAGGAAGTTAAACTATTCTTGTAAGGATAAGGTTTGTTTTAAGGTTTATGAGGGTTACATCTGTGCTGAGGTGGTCTTGTCACCTAGAAATCTCTGGGCTAGGGTTAGTAGTCCCCAGGTCAGGTCGTGCCATACCACTAAGTGACACATGATGTAGGCCCCATGAGATGTTTGAGTGGACCTTAGAGCTATCATTAATCTTATAGCCATGATGTGTCTCTTGTATGTACTACGCTTTCTGTTTCTTGAATACATATGCTCAATCTATCTCTACATTCACTGAATATTTCTTCTCTCTGCTCAAATCTGCTGTTGAAGTCCTCTAGTGAATTCATTTCAGTTGTTGTACTTTGCAACTCCAGAATGTTTATTTCATTCCTTTTAATAATTTATATCTCTTTATTGATGACCTCTATTTGTTGAGACATCATTCTCCTATTTTTCATTAATTGTTTGTACATTGTTTCCTTTAGCTCTTTGAGCGTATTAAAGATAGCTGATTTAAAATCCATGTTTAGTTGATCCAATATCATTGCTTCCTCAGGGGCAGTTTCTATTAATTTCTCCTGTGAATGGACTCTACATTCCTTTTTTTGCATGCATCATATTTTTTGGTTGTTGCCGAAAACTAGACATTTTGAATATTACAGTGTACTAACTCAAAAATCAGATGATCTCTTCCTCCATAAAGGGTCTGTTTTTGTTGCTTGTGTGGGTTATAGGTTTTTTTTTTTTTTTTTTTTTTTTTGGTGACTTTTCTAGTACTTTAAAAAAGCCTATTCTTCCACAATGGTTGAACTAGTTTACAGTCCCACCAACAGCGTAAAAGTGTTCCTATTTCTCCACATCCTCTACAGCACCTGTTGTTTCCTGACTTTTGAATGATCGCCATTCTAACTGGTGTGAGATGGTATCTCATTGTGGTTTTGATTTGCATTTCTCTGATGGCCAATGATGATGAGCATTTTTTCATGCAGCCATAAAAAATGATGAGTTCATGTCCTTTGTAGATATACCTAACACTAAATGACGAGTTAATGGATGCAGCACACCAACATGGCACATGTATACATGTGTAACAAACCTGCACGTTGTGCACATGTACCCTAAAACTTAAAGTATAATAATAATAATAATAATAATAATAAACAGCCTATTCTTTGTCATGTATAGTCTTTGAGGTTTATTTTTTTTTCAGCTTGTGGGCAGGTAGTGTTTTGACAAAGATTTCCTTAGAAACTAGTGGAAAAAAAGCCAAAATGAAACAAAAGCCCTTCCCAGTTTTTGCAGATTGGGTCTGTGTTGGGGCACCACTTAGCCAGGCCATATAAAACTCTGCCTTATCTTCGACTTGCTGCTCACAGACATAATCCTGTAAGTTACGTTCACTCTTAATCCCCAAACTGTGTCTCTGATGAAAAAGTAGAATGAACCTTACAAGACTTTTAATTATCCTTCAAACAAAACTCTAATACTACAGTTAAACTTTTCTAGATAAAACACAAAATGTGCTTTTTAATAAGGATTTTATACTTTTTTTCTATAATGGGAGTAGAACTACATATGTACAAAGTTGTATTTCTAATAGCAAAAACACATCTCATTATTAATGTTATCCTTTGGGAAAAAGTACAGTATGCTATTTGCAAAATCCATCTATCAAAAGACACTGTCAAAACCCATGTATTTTTTAGTGGCTTTGGACGTGCAGGAAACAATATTCTGAGTAAGTGTTAGTGACTCCTGCTTTATTCAATATGAGAGCTACTTATTTTCTGAGTTTTAATTCTGCTCCTGCCTAGATAAGAGCAAAACACTCAACCTTTCCATCTGGTTAACCTTGATAGCTCATACTGTAGGAGCCATCAAGGCTAACCAGATGGAAAGGTTGAATTTTTCTAGTATTTGTGATCATTTGGTGTATTGTGTTGTAGATTGGAAAATGCTGTGGATCAGAATGAGGCAAGCACTCGATAGACACCAGAAGCTTTATTCACAGAAGAGAGTTGGGAGACGGTTATCAAACTGAGGTCACAGGGGAATGGGGTGGGGTGAGGTGGGTTATTTTCATTGTAATGTGTGAAGTGATCAGTAGATTCTGCTTTTCTGCATGACAGTTTGCTGGTTGATCTTGTAAAAGGTGAGCACATACATTTCTGCAAGGAAGGATGAGATAAAAACACATTCAGTGACAATAATAATTCCCTCAGAGGCTATTTCTATGTGTGAGATGATGTAGAAATAGACACAATATCTCTGCAAACCCTTCATCTCCCACCTAGCTCAGACAGGCATGAGTCACTCAATGCTTAAGAGAAAGCAGATGACTGCACAGCTTGGGAACAAAGCTCATTGTTCCCTTAAGGCTTAAAACATAAAGGATTTGAAAGGGAAGATGAGCAGGCAGAAGGCATCCCTTTTATCCCTTTCCTACTGAGAGGAAGGAGAGTTTGGAAAGGAAGGATGAGGGTAAGACATGAGCAAGCAAGTATAAAGAATCACTTTCTCTGAAGCCCTGTCCTCAAACTAAGTCCAGAGTGAGAGGCTGTATGGAATCCTCCTTTCACATTCAGTTATCTGAATGTGAAAGATGTGCTTAGGGTACGAGCTTGGAGAAAAGACTGCCTGAACAAAGAAAAGTCACGAAGTCATTCTGTTGCTGCCATGTGGAGATTGCCATGTGACAAGAACCCCTTATCAGCCCCAGAGGGCATGTGAGGAGAACTAAAAGCTGCTGGGGGTGCCGAGAAGCACAGGAGGTAGAGGCAGTGCTGTTGGCAAGGTCTCACACCTGGGATGGGTGTGAGATATCAGAATGTCATGACCAAGTACATCCTTAACCTGAAACAGACCAACACAGAGCAGAATGGAAGCTGCTTGATTATCATAGGATTGTTCACTGTCCAGGCAGAAGACCAAGAAGTGTGACCCTTCCCCCACCACAACTGCTCCTAGGACTAACTCCAGGGTTGATGGAAAGGTAGACAAATCCCTGTAGGCATGTTAAATTTGAAGGTGGCATAAATATAATCCTGAATTGACTGAGTAATCTGTGAACTGGACTGACTTCCTCTGGGATGATTAGGTTGATTTTCTACATGAGAAAGAATAGGAACTAAAAATAGAAAATTAGATTGGGTTGGGAAAAAAAATGCAGATTTTCACACTTGAGGCTGTAACTGAGAAATTCATAACTGCAATATTATTCTAACTGCTTTGCTTAAGTAGCTTATCTCAGAGATATGTACAGTAATCTGCTGGCTTGTGGGAGCCTACTGTGAACATCTCTTCCCAGCTCAGCATTATCAAGTTGTTAGCTTGAAATCTTCCACAGAAGGAGCATTTACACCACGGGAATTGACAAATACTACAAAGCAAGACTTTTCCCCCAAAAGAAAAAGTTATTAAACACTTACCAGCATACCACTGATCAGAACTTATCACTCATGAGCCAAAATATAATGATGTTGGATAAAAGATTTAGGCTTTATTTTAAAAATTGAACTGTGATGTAAAAGACCTGAACCAGGTTGCCAGGACTTCATTATTTGTTGCTTTAAAAAGTAAAGTTAGGAATTTGTTACTGTGTATATTCACAATGCACATATAAGTTCTTTAGCATAGCTTAAATAACTTGTTTCCAGATGGTGTACAGCAACTAGGTGTGGTAAGAATATATATTCCAAGTTAACACATTTAAACCTCCAGCTTTTGAGTTGACATGTTGGTTGATAAGTTGTTTGCTTTTTTGCTTAAAGAAGGACATTTCTTCATTCAATGTCTACCTTTGATCAAAATATCCAGAAATCTCTGTTAGGGCCACAGAATTTCTGTTTTTCTCAGTGACCTCTACTCATGAATTAAATTTTTTTATTTAATTAATACCAAGAATAAGAAGTTAAATCAACTTGCTTTGGAAGCCACCCATGCAGATCAAACTAACCGCTGTCAAGCTGGTTATAGCTTGGTAGGAGATTGCAAATACTAAACTATCTTCTCATAAAACAACCTGAAATATTCATGAATATTAGTAGTGATCTTAAAATATTATTTATTCTGTACACTTTAAATGTTGGATGGATTCTTTTTATTTATCTAAAGTTGGTGATGAACATGTGTACCAAACACACACTAAGCGGTTTTTGGATGCTGAAAGACTGAGAGTTAGGTTTCCTTAGCCTTGAATGAAAGACTTTCCACTATCTGGTATTCGGGGAACCAGCCCCCAGTATTTCAGTGTAGGTTCTTTTCTATTTTCCCTAAATGTCAGCCGGTCTGAGAAATAAAGAGAAAGAGTACAAATAGAGAAATTTTACAGCTGGACCTCCAGGGGTGACATCACATATCGACAGGTTCTGTGATGCCTACCTGAGCTGCAAAACCAGCAAGTTTTTATTAGGGATTTCAAAAGGGGAGGGGTGTACGAATAGGGAGTAGGTCACAGGGATCACATGCTTCAGAGGGCAATAGAAGATCACAAGGCAGAGGGTGAAATTAGAATTATTGATGAGGTTCCATGTCCCACTGGGCATGCATTGTATTGATAAACATCTTAACAGGAAACAGGGTTCGAGAGCAGACAACTGATCTGACTAGAATTCACCAGGCTGGAATTTCCCAATCCTGGTAAGCCTGAGGGTACTGCAGGAGACCAGGGTGTATTTCATCCCTTATCTTCAACTGCATAAGACAGACACTCCCAGAGCAGCCGTCCATAGACCTACCCCTGGGAATGCATTCCTTCCCCAGGGTTCTTCCTTGCTGGGAAAAGAATTCAGTGATATTTCTCCTACTTGCTTTCTGCAAGAAGAAAAATATGGCTCTATTCTGCCTGACCCCGCAGGCAGTCAGACCTTAAGGTTATCTTCCCTTGTTCCCTGAAGATCGCTGTTGTTCTATTCTTTTTCAGGGTGCCCTGATTTCATATTGTTCAAACACACATGTTTTACAAACAGTTTGTACAGTTAACACAATCATCACAGGATCCTGAGGTGACATACATCCTAAGCTTACAAAGATGACGGGATTAAGAGATTAAAGTAAAGACAGACATAAGAAATTATAAGAGTATCGATTGGGGAAGCGATAAATGTCCATGAAATCTTCACAATTTATGTTCAGAGATTGCAGTAAGGACAGGCATAAGAAATTATAAAAGTATTAATTTTGGGAGCTGATAGATGTCCGTGAAATCTTCACAATTTATGTTCTTCTGCTGCTGCTTCAGCTGGTCCCTCCATTCGGGGTCCCCGACTTCCCATAACAATCTGGCTCCATTCTCCTTTCTTGCCTTGATGACAACTGCCCTCCTGTTGCCCCCTCTATTCCCTTTGCTCCCTTCACTCCCTTCAGTCCAATTACTGCTGTGCTGAAAGATGTGCCTCACATTGGTTTGCCCTCATGTCATTCCTCTGCTTGGAAGGCTCCAATCCTTCACTGTGGCCTTCCAGTGTCCCACCCTGGAACCCAAGTGAAATGTTTCTGCTTCCCTAACCATTCAGCCAGCAGTGCTCTCCACACCCTGAACTTCTCAAGTGCTCATTCCATTTCAGTCCCTCTTGTAATCTGCATCACCTGCTGATGTGCTGTCTTACTCTTTTATAAAAGATGAACTCCAGGAGGAAATGACATCATCTGAGATGAAGAACAGACCCTGGAGACAGACTGTTTTCAGGGTTTGCCTGACTTTACCAGATCTTTGTAACCTTTCATAAGTGACTTTACAACCTTTTGGCTCAGTCTCTTCATGTTTAAGGTGGGGAAAAAAAATTTCCATTGTGTAAGATTATTGTGAAAATCAAACAAATTAGGACAGTGAAGCCCTTAGTACACTGTAGAATACAGAAGTGATCTCTGTTTATAGCCAGCAGATCCAGAGTCATTCCCAGCATTTCTTTTGATTATGTGCTGATAAATATATTGATCACATTTTGGTTTGGCTTCTAGGATGAAAATTGAGGGTAGTAGTAGTGATTAGAATGATATTAATAAGCCCTTCGACACAGTAGTTTCTGTGTTTGAAATTCTGTGTGTGATCTAGTCCTAAAAGCTGTAATCAGAATATGCGATTAGGGAGATACATTCTATATGCTTTGCTATGAAAGGTGGCATTTAGAGATTTTTAAAAGAGTGGTCTTTTTAACTGTCTAATGTCTTGTGCTGCCAGAGATCACTGAGCTTCTATAATGTTTATTAACAATTGGAAATGTCTTAAAGTGCATAGTCAGCCCCTCCCCATTCAACATATAACATCTCATTTCTGCCTCCTTCCTAGCTTAAAAAGCTACTACGATAGGTTATACATAGTGTTTAGATTGTTGAAAAATATAAACTTTAAACACTTAATCTAAACACCACATTAATTTAAATTTTAAGATATTTATGTTAAGATACTAGATGACATTAATATTCAGCAAATACTCATTTATTCATTGGAATTCAAAACACATTTCAGACACTCTAGAGAAGATTGATGGGAATTAATCAAAACTATTTCTTAGAAAAGAAATGACACAAAGAGAATTTAAGATCGTTTGAAATGTCGCCTTTGCTCATTACAAAGGTCTGTCATTTTACTTTTGTTATGGGAAAGACAAAGCTCTTACAGCCCTTTGACCTTCTGAAGTTATCTCAGAATCTATCTAATTTATTTCCATTTCTCTGAATTTGGCCATATTAGAACAATAACAGCTCAACTAATGAGAAGCCTCGCTTTTATGTTTGAGCAGTTCACAAGTTTTGGTAAAAGTTCCATTCAAATATGTCCATGGCTTTCTAATACGAGATTTGATTCTTAGCTATTAATTTAACAAACAAAAGCAAACTGTATTCTTTTATATTACAAAGCTCTTATATAACAAGCTAAATCATGGGAAAGTTGATATTTTAACTGCAGCTGGGAGGTGGAGGGAAGGAAGTCCTGGCTGAGTGAGAGGCATAAGAACATGTATAATTCAAATAAAATTGTGGAGAACAAGAACAGGTTTCATAGAAAAATGCACGGTTTTCTTAGGCTCCACTGTCAGATTGGGCTTGTGTTACATGCTGCATCAAGAGGATGCCTTTTGCTACCAGGAAAAATACCATCCAACCTGCTTTTACCAAAACAACTCTGGAAACAACAGTGAGAAGGGACTGGTTATTTAAGAGGCACGTATTAAAGATCTCTAGGAAGGGAAGGCCATGAAGCAGGAACATAGCTGCCCAAGTTCCCCCCCAAATCCTATATGCTTACCCAAATCCCACAGGCCTTGCTTCCTTCATTCTCATCACCCAAGGAGAGCTGTCCCTGTATTCTAAATTAAATCACTCCAGGTTATCCTAAATCTTTTGTAGTGGCTCAGGTTTCCTGTTGCTTCAATTTACATTTTTCAAATTTCCCTTGTACTAATGACTCTTGACTCTGAGCACCACCACCCAGAATGTTTTCAAACGACCACCCTGGACTTTGCCCTATCCCTCTCCAACATCTGATTGCGCTCCCAATGCCTACTATTTATGGGTTACCCACATCACCAAGTCCTGCCAATTCTACCTCACTAAACTTTCTCCGATGCTTTCATGTCTTCATTCAATACATATTTATAGGGAGTTTCCTATGTGCCAACACCTATTCTAGCATGCAAACATCAGGAAGGCAGAGACTTACTTCTGTTTTGCTCACTTTCGTGGCGTTTGCCTGCTAGTAGAACATTATATTTATTCAAGCGTGAGAACTCCTAACTCTGATTAATACAACAACCCCAAGATTACTCTTTTTCTCTCTGCTAAAATTTGATCAAGGAGATATGTCTGCACTGCCAATCAGCAATGTACTCCTTAGAATCCTCCAGTGGTGCTAATTTTCCCTTCTCCACTGTTTAGTATATCCTTTATAGCCCTTAAGATTGGCTCCTGCTCACCATTTCAGTCCCATCTTTCAACAGTCAGTCCAATTTCTGACACTTTATATTTTTTGCTCCAACTATTTCGGACAAATTGAAGCTCCTTAATGTGCTACAGCCTCTCACACTTCTGGAGTTTGCCTCTGCTCTTTTTATGGGAAAGCCATTATTCGTTCTTCACCTCCTAGGTCATTCCTGTTAGTCCTTCAGTATAAGTGTAGATGCCAGCTCTCCCTGACATCTTCCTCAACTTTTTCATTGAGAGTCTTTACCTCTTTTCTGTGCCTCTTAACTTAGGATCTTAAACCTGTCCTTCCACCTAGCACAAATGCATTTTTCTCAGACAAATACAATATATTTTATGTCTAGATGGTGTTCCATTGAAATGTACAAATTCTGCCCCCCACCCAGTGACAAGCTGATAAACAGTGAAATTATTTTTTAATTGAGTTGTTGAACTAATAAGGACTCAAACTAAGGTAGGGACAAAGCCAAGGAAAGGGCTGTAATGGAAATGACTTTGAAGGTTAAACTGACCAGATTTGGCAACTTCTATACAGTATTACTGAAAGGGAGTAATTAGAAATGATTTTTAACATTTTCAGTCCGAATGAATGGAAGGCTAGAATTATGTGGCCATCTGGTTTTGACAGGAGGTAAAACATCCATTTTTGAAATGTTAAGTTTAACAAATCTATAGGGCATCCATGAATAGATATATGGGAGGCATTCAGGATTTGGGATATGGCTTTCAAAGGAAAGATCAGAGCTAGAAAAATAGATTTAGTCTTCAGCATCCAAAAAAAAAATCATTGTAGCCACAAGCATGAGATGTGTAGTTCAGTGAGGATGTAAAGCAAGAGAAAATGAGAGTTGTGTTAGCTTTTTAGCGAAAGTAAAGAAAAATGGCTCCATGAAAGATGCTGAAAAAGGCTGGTCAGGGAAGTTTAGAAAAAAACCCAAGAAGTTGCCATGTCCTATCGAGTCACAGAAGGAGGAGCTTGCCCGAAGTGACAGAATTTTGGTCATGACTTCTGATCTAGATGTTTTTGCTGATGAGTTTTCTCTCAGTTCATTTATTGACGTAGAAGGATATTCTACAGATGCAGTATGTCAGCATAGCAGAAGCAAAAAGCTGCTGTTCCTTTGTTTTGAAAGCATCATCCCTCAAGAATCATGCAAATCAGAAATTCATTATGGAAACTGTGTATGAAGATCATCTGGGAATTCCCCTAAATATAATGCCCCTGGCTGTCATATTGTCCCTCCCATTTTTATATAAAGGAGCATAAAATGCTAGAAATATTACATCCAGGCTTGCATTTAATTTTGCAAAAGTGATGGATTTTAAAAATTTCACAAAGGGCAATTATATAACACAATATTCTTCTTCTCAGTTATGCATCTGTTGAAGGAAAAACTGGCATCATTAAATGAAAACAAAGTTTTTGACATTTATGGTTGTCTATTGAGTTTGGCTGACTCTACAAATATTATATTTCCTAAAATTATAAATTGCTAATTTCTTTTTTTTTTTTTTTTTTTTTTTTTGAGATGGAGTCTTGCTCTGTCGCCCAGGTTGGAGTGCAGTGGTGCAATCTCGGCTCACTGCAAGCTCCACCTCCGAGGTTCACACCATTCTCCTGTGTCAGCCTCCCAAGCAGCTGGGACTACAGGCACCCGCCACCACGCTTGGCTAATTTGTTGTATTTTTAGTACTGGCGGGGTTTCACCGTATTAGCCAGGATGGTCTAGATCTCCTGACCTCGTGATCTGCCCACCTCGGCATAAATTGCTAATTTCTTAAGTAAAATTCTGAACTCTGAACATATATTTCAAACAATGACAAACTGACCTGTTTTATATTCCTAAGTATCTGTGGGTTACAAATTTTCAGAAAACAGATATAATAAAAGCAATAACAACTGCAACGTAATTCATGCTAGTAATAGATTCTCCATTTTGCTTATCAAAAGTATTTGCTTTTCACAATTACTGTAGCTCTCATCACGAATGTGCATTGAGCTGCTTCTGCTGGGATGCCGTGTTTCAGCTGCCACATTCTCTGTGGTAACAGCGTTCAGGAAAATGCAAGGGTGTGGATAAGATTCATAGTATTGCCAGAAGCAATTTGAAATTGGCTAGGCAGAAGCATAACCTATTTTTTTTTTTTTTTGGTCCACCTTTTCTGATCCAGAAAATGTTGGCATTAACTCTCATTCCCAGCTGGAAGCACTGCTTTATTATGACTCAGTGGATCAATATACACTGGGAACCATGAACTGTGATAGGTGGCCTGACAATCCGATGAAAGGCCTCATTGGTTTGAGTGAAAATGAGGTTGCATTGTGAGACTTTCTTTTTATCAAAAAGGACAATTTAGAACTTTCCATTATACATTACAAATAGAAATAAGATGGAGATAAACAGAGCAAAATGATATGTTTTTTCCCTCTTCTGCCTCACTTGTGCATCTTTCACATCCTGACAGACTTGATCATGCTCCCTCAAAACCCTGACTGATCTTTTTCTTGGCAAATCCAGGGAAACATTCGCCTGCTTTTTCTAATATAGAATAACTAGTAGCATGTAATCTGAGAAGAGTTTTAAATCTCGGGTTAGGAGATACAACAACAAGGATAATTACACGTTTATAACCACAGGTTAAAATCAGATTAATAAATAAAAGTGCCTAGATTGGAAAAATCACCCACCAATGGTTTGTTACATTTGCTTACATTTGCTCTCTTCCCCATTTTAACACAATGTAATACTGAAAAATCAAATATGTTGAAACTTCATTTTTTTTTTGTCTGATGAGGTAAAGAAATCATTTAAAACACGTGTAATAATCAAGAATAAGGCAAACAAATCTAAATGTGTTAGTCCCCGGCAAAAGTAATGGTAATGTATCATGATTTTGACATAAACCTCATAATAGCAAATCTTTTCTCTACATTTTTCATAAAATCATGACCCTTGTGCATTCCTCTCATTTGTTTGTAGGCCAGGAGCCAGATGGAACTAGCCAGGGTGCACGGATGTTACAGGAAGCAATTCATTGTGTAGTAAAAGGGTCTGCAATTGAAAGCATTTCTAGAATTGAATGCATGCATAGGGGAATATTGTACCTGCTAGCTTCAAACTCTGAATTCTCTTTGCATACCACCCTATCAGTCTATTGTAGAACACATCTGTTAAAGCCAGCATGTATGTATGTATATGTACACTGGGAACAGTGAAAATACATACATACACACATATATATATATATATTTGCTTATGTCTGTCCAGTTTGTAGAAAAAATCATTGTGATGCCCAATGAATGTGAAGTGATTCTGCCCCAGAATGTGAATGTGACTGTACCAATGCTATACATATGGCAAAATGCTTTTTGAATTGGATAGATGCATTAATTCTTCTGACCACCTATCTATACAGGCAAACAGCATTATTCTTGATAATCCACATACCGTTTTATAAAGTCATAATATGTAAATGTATTAGCAGATTTGGGGATGTTAAGCACCCAAACAAAATACTCATGCACATACAGTGAGATATCTTACAGTACTACTACGGTGTATTAATCATTCAGATCTGAAATTGGTTGATACTGTTTTCTTAGGCCAGTTCTAAACCGCTGAGTCTGAATATTAGATTAATAGTTGAGGAATAACACAAAATACTCCATATTTTTCAGTGTTGTCAAAACTTTAGCAGTTATGAATATTGTCAAGATGAGAGAGATTCTATTTGTTGTTTAGTCCAGAGACTATTTTCCGTGTATGATCGTATATGAGATCATCTCAAAATCCCTAGCCTCTGCTAGATAAAGTCACCTCTTTCGGTTGTGTCAGTTCCTTCTAGGTAAATACTCAGATTTTCTGATTTCCTAACCTTCTACTCTTTTCCAAAATGGCAGTGGGTATATAATGTACTCATATGATGTCATGGCACGGTTAGATGGGGGCTCCCCTGGCTAATGTTGGTTATTTTGCTAGTGACTACCACAAGATTGTTGGTTGGATCTCTGTGCCAAGGACAGTGACATCTGAGTCTGATTGAGTTGATCCTAACACTGGATATTTATTGATATACACTATGACATTTAGTGACCCATCTATTCCTTTGAATGGTCTCTTGGCAAAGACACCTTTTACTGACTGGGCCCCATGATACTTCTTGTTGGCTATTCAGAGTTCCTGAAGCTGGCTGTGACTTTCTTTTGGCTAATGGATGCAGCAGTTGTGTAATAGCCTTTGAGTATTGCCACTTATCAGGAAGAATTCCTCTGGCTAGCTCCCAGCCAGACCCACATTCACTTCTAGGCAGTGCTCTTCAGCTTCTTCTCTTAGGCTCTGACTGTTGAATGGTTAGGTTACTGGGGAGTATGATTCATTAGGCAGAATCATGGAAAACACATTGTTTTAATAAAAACAAAACAGTGATTTCCTGTCAAAGAAAAATTGCACTGAATTGAGTGAAGCAGTCAAGGAAGGCTATTCAAAAGTATTGTGACAGAGGTCAAGAGTATTGGGAGAGGGATTGAACTCAATTCCATTGAAACAATTCCGTTGAAGCGCTGGGCTGAGCTAGTGGAAATACACTGGAGGACATTGGGGATGCGGGGGGGATTTGGCCAATGTGATAAGGCCATCTGTGTTTGCTAATTGGATCTTATGTAAGTTAGGCTCCTACCCTCCCACAGAGCCTGGAAGATGGAAGTCCTGTCTTTCTTGATGATTACATTTCAAAGGGGTGGCTCCCAGGTCCTTGAGAAAGATATCCCTGGATTGTAAAACTGGCAAGAGGCTGGATGAAGATTTACACCTCAAGGGGCAGAGACAGAATTTACAATATTAAGTTTTATAAAGTAAATGCTGTATGAAAAGGGAGGTCAGGAGCTTAAAGTCAGAAAGAAACTTGTCTACAGTTGAGTTGAGGGCAATGTTAAAGCTGTCTTCATCACATACATCACTAATAATGTCCCTTCTTGCCTGTGAAACAAAAATTATTACAGTTGTCTACAAGCCAGGGAACAAGCCCTTACCAGGAACTGAATCTGCCAGCCCCTTGATCTTGGACTTCTCAGCCTCTAGAACTGTGAAAAATAAATGTCTGTTGTTTAAAATAAATAAATAAAGCATGTAATTCTATAAGATATGTGTATTCAAGACCGAATTCAACAAATACTTAAGCCCAGAGGTAAACAAATCTCATGAATTGGGAACATAATGCTATACGAATGTGTTCTAGCATTTTACTAATTGGGGAAATATTAAATGATTTAATCAACCGAATGTCTGAAATTGGTTTTGCACTTTACCTTTTTGATATACTATGCCCTAGTAATGCCGGCTTTTCTACCATTAAGTGGAAATGATGTCTGTTGGGTACAGGAGAGTGACTTCAGTTTGTTGACCCAGAAGGAGTGATATGAGAATATTTGGCTCATGACAGCTTATCATCTCAGTCTGGCTAGGGAAGATAAAAAAAAAAAAAAAAAAAGAAGGTAGAGAAGCAAAAAATGGTTTTTAAATTTCTGGGATATTGCCAGTAGGCTCTCTCCGATGCATGATGTCATTTACTGAAATGACCTGCCTTCCTGTAAAAGATCTAAATCAAAACTTTCAGAAAGGTATTATAATGGGCTTAGAAAGCAAAACATGGGCAGATCCTGATTATCATCTGAATTTCCAGACGTTATGTGCTAAAAATCATTTTTCCAAAACTACTAGTTTGAATGAAATAAACCTATCTGTGGTAAAAACAAAATTAAGGCACAGAATTTGGCATATTTGTAACTTTATTCTAGTCTTCCAGGGGAAACTTGGCTGTCATAAAATTTGCAAATCAAATACACAAATCAAAATGCCTGCATAGATAAAGCTTGTAAATATTTACTTTTCAAAGCACTGCATTATTAAAGATTTCAGAAATGTCCAGTCTGGCAATACAAGAAGTAAGACTGAAAGTCAGTCTGCCAGTTTGCCATGAGGGAATATTGATTGACAGCAAAGAACTAAAACAGAAGACAATTTAGTGAGGTATTATTAATTAAGAACCTTGCTGGGGAGTTGAAGTGAAAAAGCATCTCTTTTTCATCGTATCAAAAATTCCAAAACAAAGCAATACATACATCTTTGAAATGTAGTTTACAAATGATTAAGCTGTGTAGGTGTGAGGCAATTGGTTGTGTGTGTGTGTGTGTGTGTGTGTGTGTATCTCAGTTGAGTGCTTAAACTTCTGTTTGAAAACTTCATAAAAAATACCGTGCATCAAAGAACAGTATTCTGTGCCTTCAGTTTGGGTACAGTTCCAGCTTTTTCAGTAGGTTGTATAAATTTAGACCATGTTATACCCACGTGACTACAATTTTATTTCAATCTTATATGCAGTAAATACTTTTTTAAGCACCTACTATGTGTCCAGCAATGTGCTAGACACTTGGGGTCTATCAATGAATAAAACAGGTGAAGACCCCTGGTCTCATAGAGCTTGTATTCTAATAAATATAATACATAAACACTAAAGATACTACATAAAAATCATATGCTATATAAAAAAGATGGAGATTTCTGTCAAAAATGAAAAAGTGGTTCAGGGGAAGACAAATGGGAGTAGGACTGCGGAGCAGAAGGAATTTTAAATGGGAGGACAGGAGATACAAGCCTCTAAGACAGGGTAATATTCGAGCAAGAGACTTATAGGCAGCAAAGGTATTAGCCCAGAGTATCTCAGAGAAGAGCATTCCTGGCAGAAACAAGAGCTTAATACAGCTTCTGAGATGGAAAATGACTGATGTTCAGTTTATTCAAAGAACAGCAAGGAGGCCATTGTAAATGGAGGGCAGTGAACTGGGAAGAAGAAAAAGAGAGAAGGTAGAGATGATATGGGGGTGGTTTAAGGGGGCAGATCATTGAGGACATTGCAGGTGGCATAGTGAGAACTTCGTCTTTCACTCTGTAGAGTTGAGAGTTCTTGCAGTATTGCAGTATTTTGTGCACAGGTATAATATTTCACACCTGTTGTGTAGAGAATAGAATCTCAGTGGGCACAGGAAGAAAGAGAGACTTACTAGGTGACTGTTGCAAGAATCCAGGGTTGAATAATATGGCCTGAATCAAAGGAGCATCCATGAAGGCAGAAAAACAGCAGGATTCTTAATAATAAAGCAGCACCAACAGCATCTTCTGGTGGTTTGGTAGTGTGGTATGAGAGAAAGAAAGGGGTCAAGCGTGACTCTTTTTTTTTTTTTTGTACTGAGAAACTGGAAGGATAAGATTACCATTATATGGGGCTGGGAAAGGATGTGAATAGAGTAGGATTCAGAAGGAGAATGGAAAATCAGTTTTGGAAATGTTAAAGAGATCAAGTAGAATAGAATTCTCCAGTCTTGGGTTCAGGGAAGGAGTGTAGGCAGATTTATGAATAAGGGAATTTTTGACACGTGGGTAATGCTTAAATTCATCAGGCTAAGAGAGATCAACGGGGAGTGAATGCAGAGAGAAAAGAAGGAGAGCAAAGGTCTGAGACCTGGAGAGTCTCAACTTTAAAAGATCATGTGAGATAAAAGAAGAAACCAGCAATGAGAGCGAGAAGGAGCAAACAATTAGGTAGCAAGAAAATTAAGAGAAGGTGCTTTTGTGGAAGCTAAGTGAGCAAAGTCTATTTGGGCATTGAGAATGATCACTAGTATCAAACGCCACAGATTGTCCATGTGAACAGGAGACTGAAGCCTGAACGCTGGATTTAGCAACATGGAGTTCTTGGTGACTTTGACAAGAGCAGTTGCAGTTGAGTGGCAGGGAGTGAAAATCTGATTGGAGTCGGCCCAAGAAGGAATGGGGTGAGAAAAATTGGAGAGTGATGTGGACCTATATTATTTGAAGACTGTTAACATTAAAAGAAGCCAAAAAAAAAAATAGAATGGGGTCAAGAGAAGTTTTTTTTCTTTTAAAATGAGAAAAATAAGAGCATGCTGATGTAACAGTGTACTGATGGGAATTATCCATTAAAGAGAATATAAAAATAATGAAGCAGGAGAGAGGAGAATTGCTAAAGCGGTGACCGTGAGAAGGATCAGCACAAGCAAGGGGCCCAACGAATGTCTTATGTAACTAGAAAGCACGGCAAACACTCTGCAGGCACAGCAGGACCTAGCGGTCCTGATCTTGTTTTCAGAACTTGATCTCACTTCATTTCTCAACTCTCCTTCTCTCTCTTTTGGCCTCACTCAGACAGGCTTTCCACAACAATACCTCCTACAGCTTGATGCCTGTATCTTATCTTCTCAGCATTAATAGCAGAAAAGAGTCTGTTCTCCAAATGTCCTCACAAAATCCTGAAATTGCTCCATGGTCATGGCTCAAGGTCACCTGCCCATCCCTGAAACAATCACTGTGGTCAAAGTAGGCAAGGTCAAGATGGAGAAGTGAACATGAGAACAGACCGACAGCAACATACACAGCATCAGTAGAGTCACGTTCTCTTCCAGCTGAAACAAACAACACTGGTAAAAATACAAAGCTATTAAAAGGCTCTAAATGGTGGCCTGGGGACACGGCACACCATTTAAGGGAGCCAAACAAATATTGGTACCACGTTCTTTCCATTTCCTTACATTATTATAATTTTATGTCAAGATGAAAATGATCTGGGCAAACTTGGACTCTTGGGGAAATCTAGATGAAATCGCATTTGAAAAAAAAGTAATTATCTTGGAGGGAAACTTTCTTATGACAATTTTAATTAAGCCAATTATTTTCTAGGAATTTAGATGTCCTAATGGTGGCTAGAACCATCATTCAATTATGTTCACTTGTGTTTTGTGTCCTTGAACATCTGTGTCCTTTTACACTTTAAAATCTCGAGGAAGAAATGTAATTCCTTCTGTCTCTGCAGTCTCTACTTGAATAAAGTTGATACGTCGCCTTTACTGATGACCACCAGGAATGTCTGTCATGCCATTTTTAATATTACTACGGGATAAAGGTGATTCTTATCTATATTTTAAAGCTCCAACTAAGAGTATTTTTTCTTCACTTTTTCCTTTTACTTCCCTGAAATTTTAAGATGTGTCTCCCTTACCAGCACTAAATATTGGTGATATTTAGTAGATGGGATATATGAGTCTTAAACATGATTCAGCCAGCCAGGTAATTTATAAT
Organism: Homo sapiens; assembly: GCF_000001405.40. Taxonomy (NCBI): domain Eukaryota; kingdom Metazoa; phylum Chordata; class Mammalia; order Primates; family Hominidae; genus Homo; species Homo sapiens. The sequence goes on from NC_000016.10 coordinate 76,350,114, forward strand.
TAAATCACACAGAATAAATTATTTGAACATATTCTTGGGATAAAATATACTACTATGAGTCAAAGATAGTTGTAATTACTCCAGGGGTAAAGAATGAAAAATGGGGTGATATGTAAAGTGACATCCTCCCACTGATTAAAATAGTATTAAAAATAAGTAATTTCTCACCTGCACTAAAGTATTTGCATAGTATTGGGAAAATTTACTTAGCCTCTGTAAATACTTTTGTTTTTTTTCTTTTTAAAAGAGATGTTAAAGCATACTTCATCTCACTAGATAATTTTAATAATTAAGTTAATACAACGTATACAATTTCTAGTAGCGTGCTTAGCATACAATAGGCACTGGATAATTTTTAGTTTGCTTTTCTTACAATTCATAGCAACACATGTTACAGAAGCAAGTCCCTCAGAAATCTGATGTTGAAAAGTGGTAGGCAACAAATAAAAGAGATGCTGTGTTTTGCGGTCAATCAGTTACAAAATTTTTTCAAAGCTCAACTTTGCTGTGATCATAACTCTCTTTGGAGCTAATAGCAATAATAATTTTTGTAATTCAAAAAGCACTAACTGCCATATACTCTGATGTTTGTTGAATGTGGGAGAAATCAATAGGCACTTAATATGCTTTTAAAATTTAATTCTCATAACAATACTACAGCATTTAAGAGTCTTGTGAATGGGGAGAACTTTTATTTTTAAATGTGAGTTTTCAGGCTGTAATATGAAAAGTTAAGACATTTTTCCATTTGAATAGATTTATGACACTATTATGCCAAGTCTCAGTAACAAAGTTAAGGTAGGAGAAAGAGGACGGTGGAACAGGTAAAGGAAACCTGCAGTATGGGGACAAATAGGAACTGGTGGGGGCAAGACTCTTGTTTTTGTTTTGTGCGTAAATTATCATTAACCATGGAAGAGATGGGGTTGAGAAAAGATGGTCTTTAGTTTCATAAGAATTGGTTTCTTAGGATATTGAATATATTGGCATACTAAAATCACGAGGTCAAATAACACTTAACTAGCAGTTAAAAGGTTTTCTTAATAAAATAAATACAGTTTATTTGATAGTAATACAGAGTTTATAATTTGCTGGAGTTAGTCATCACTTTCTCTGTTAACAAAGTAAATATTACAATAGTGTGTTTCCGAGGGCTATGCGGTTTGGCGGTGGCCATACGGCTGGTGGTCTAACCTCAGCTGCAGTTACGTTTGCATTTCATGTCACTAGCTGTCATCATAGGCTGGCCCAAAAAAAAAAAAAATTCTGCAAAGAATAATCAATTTATCTCTATCGCTCAGTCTATCTGTCTAGCTTATGTCTTCCATTTTACTATTTAGCATTTGTCTTAAAATTAGAACAAGCCTAACACTCTATCACACGCTAATACCATGTGCATCTGCAGAGCTGCGCAGCTTAAAACCCGGTAGAGATATTTGGATTCCCTCTGGCCAACTTATCTGGCTGAAATTACTTGGTATAGCCTAGAAGCCTCTGAATTTCCATTACTTTATCAGTGTACCTCATTAATGATATAGCTTAATTTGCATACCAGTAGTACCTTTTCACCCCAGGTAAGGAATTGAAATGTTCAAGGTCAATTAACTGTGAATGTTTCAAGTTGGCTGGTGCAGCTGTAACTGTGAGCAGCGCTAGGAAGAGGGAGCAGTCAGTGAGGGCTTCCTCTTTCTCCTGATGAGAATTGATGATCCGATTTTAACTCACTAGAATCACACTGATTCTTTTCTTCTTGCTGCATTGCTGTCATGTGTTCGCTTTTTAAAATACTGGCCTGTAGAGGCATGGAAATGCAAGAGAAATACTGTGAAATTCTGGATTTTAGGAAAACATATTCTCAATTCCAGCTTTAGACCATTACAATTAACTAGAAAGGGCAAGAAGGAAACTAATCAGTGTTTTCTCAAAGGTATTAGCTGACACAGATGCAATTCCAAGTGTGGAATTTCCAGGCTGAGAGGGTGACATTATAGGGGCATTTCATTCACCCTTTCCTAACTTTTTCTTGTAAACAAAAAAAATGACAAAAATACAGAGAGATATGCAGTTGTAGCAATAAGAGAATTCAAGATGCTTGATTAGTACCAGACCCTAGAAGTCTTTCAATTTCTAAAGTTTTGACAGGGCCTGGAGGGAAAGAATAAAATTAGATAGGACAGTGGAGAGAAAAACTCATCCACACGCCATGTCCATCATGTGCCTATACTTCAAAGACACGGTCCATTGTAAACTACAGGGAGGGAAGTTGACCCTACTGCCTGGTAGCTTAATCCTGAGCTTCCCTGATCTCCAGGAGCACCAGTGAGTCTTTTCTACATCCACTGGGAACCACTGATTCCCACCTTTGCATCCTGACCTATGAGAGGCACTGCGGTGTCCTAGTTAGGGGCATGGTGCCTCTTGCCTGCTCCATGGATGAGGGCAAAGTGTTCAAACTCTTTGTATCTGATGCACCATCTACTATGTAGACTGCACTGAGAATTAATTTACAAGGCCTTCAACAAAGTGCCTGACACAAAGGACTCCCTTGCTCAGCAAATGTGAAGTAATACAGTATTAGAATAAGTAGAGGAGGATGGATGGTGTTTCATCACATCCTGAAAAATGAAGGATGGAGGAAGCATTGATTCAGATTTTAAAATAATGCCCCAGGAGCAGTTCCCGCAGAGTTCAAGAACTCCCCGAGCTATTTGTGGGAGGGTGCTATTTAAAGTGTGCTTCAGATCATTCAAGAACACATTCCGTATAAATAACAGTCTGCAAGGGTAGGAAGTACCCTTCACGGACAGCAGGGCCATGCTAAACAAATGACCCCAAGACACCAAGGGACCATGTCTATGCAACAAGCCCTCTTGCTTAAAAGATGAGAATATTCTGCTTTATAAGCATAAAGGTAGATAATATTGGTGTACAACGAAACTGCACCCCAAATCACAGGTTCTTTAAGAACAAATACAGAGAAAATTAAAAGTCAAAACGCATAAACAAAACTTGTAGCATGTAAAAAATTTCTGGATCCACAAAAGAGGAAGAGCATTGTGCTTTTGACACATGGAGTGGAATACAGTTTTGAACAATGATTCACTTGAAGAAAGATGGAAATTTGATGATGTATCTAATTCTAAAGACAGTATAGTAAGAAACAGGGATTATACCTGAATGCAAGCAGTCATTAGTGTGATGCCATCAAGAGAGGAGCTTCTTGTAATATAATGTTTAAAAAGAATTTCAACTTACTTATTTTAGATTAAGGAGTACATGTGCAGTTTGTTGTAATGCAATTTTTTAAAATGCTGCTTTGACACAGTTTTGACCCCGGCCAGGACTGGTCACTTTCCTTTCTTAGCAGCTGATTATGTCCATACTCCAACCACTTCCTTTATTAGGTTCTCACCCTTTGCGGTTGTTAAGCATCATTGCTGGGACAGGTACCAGACAACTAGGGGTGTCCTAGTGCCTCCTAGATAAATTGTTCAGATTAGCCAATTCACAGGAAGCCCACCAAGCCTAGCTAGCTAGCCCTATCCTGCTTGTCATACAGAAGCTGCCTCCTACAGCTCCAGTTTACCCTTATGCTGTCCTCTGGTGCATCCCCATGTGTGGTCCTGCCTGGCGTCTTCTCTTGTTAGTAGTTGTAAGTAGCAGAGTTCTGCCCTTCATCTATCAGAGTATCATTATGCTGTGTTCCACCATCAAAATAATCTTGAAGTCTTATAAAGTACTTGTCAACACTGGTGTGTGCCTTCAGGTCCTACAATGGCATACGCCCTACCATAACAGCAAACATTTATTGAGCATTTCTTTGAATTAGGTCTTGTACTCAAGGTTTCATAAAATGGGTCATGTATGCCAAGAATAATGCTTGAATCAAAACTATATAAATTAATGGTAATCTGTATCTAAAATTCCAGACCTTATTATCAGAGCCTCAAGGTGAGCAGCAAAAGAATGGGGGAAGAAAATGTGCTAACATTCTTATTTGGGGTGCTATATAATTGATGTGGCATTTTAATAAACATTAAATGTTAGATAATATGGATTCAAGAATGAGTCAAACCCTATTTCGTAACTTTTACAATGATTATATGTTACTTACATAATCAGCAATGTTAAATAATTCTTAAAATAATTCCCCAAATTATTATATTAAACTGGAAGAATGAAGCATCTTAACACGATATACAGGAGTCACATCTACAGTATTTTGGTGTGTGTTGGATCAAATATAACACAGTAAATTATGCTGTGCACATTACTTCTTTGAACATACATCACAACTTGTATTCTTTACTTCTGAGTGATCAAGCACAGCTTGCTCTATGATTTCCTTGGTTCTCTTTTCCCCCATCCTCTTACCCACCACCCTGCTCCCATATAGGATAGAAACAGTGGTGTGTTGGTAAACTGGCTGGGGTGAGGGCAGGTGCTTATTTGCAGAGTTTGCAGTTTCCGTGGTTTAAATACTCTCATCATGGCCAATTGCAAAGATGGTTATGTTTAATAACTAGCTTGCAAAATTGAAAATTTAATGATTGTCTCTCACAAACTGTTGGGAACAAGCTCCAACCCACCACTGGATAGAGTTGTGTTATTTTCTCCTGCAAACACGCCATCATTAATGTGTGTTTCAAATGTGGTTTTCAACATCTGTCCCTCCCAAAAGACTGTAAACATCTTGAGGCCAGGAACTATTTCTTGACTTTTGTTTTCCCAGACTTAACAATGTCCTCCCTTCTCTAAGTCTAAACATGATCACAAGTAGATTTTTAGTTCCACCACAGCTTTAGTTCCTTCATAGCTTGAAGTTACTTCCTTACATCCAGTCCTGGGCAAAGGGGTAGCAGAGCACACCATTACATGTGTGCAGTAGACATGCTAGTAAGTTCCCAGTGTTGGCAGGAATGTTCACCTATCATATTAAACATTTTAAATATTCAGCAAGACCCCTAGTTCTCCCAGTTTTAGAAGGCTATAAAATCTAGAAATGAATACAATTAATTAACATAGACATCATATAATTATACTAAATTCTTACCTCTATATTTTTCTACAATTATAAGAAGTTTCATATTTTGGATATTTAAGTTCCATAGAGGAATACAGTCGTACTGGCATTTCTTTACAAACATAGATTTTTAACTAACTTTCCTTTCTCAATTTTCTCCTGTTTCTATTTTTAATAAAAGGAGCTGGTGGCTGGTCTCCACTTGTGTCTAACAAATACCAGTGGTTGCAGATTGACCTTGGAGAGAGAATGGAGGTCACCGCTGTGGCCACTCAAGGGGGATATGGTAGCTCCAACTGGGTGACCAGCTACCTCCTGATGTTCAGTGATAGTGGCTGGAACTGGAAACAATATCGCCAAGAGGACAGCATCTGGGTATGTTCTTTAACAAAAGACATAGTCTCTCGGGGAAAAAGTATAATCAGTACTGCATCTTGTTTACCAATCTCTTAAATTAAGTAGACATACAGAATCTGCAGACTTACATTGAAAACATTTTCCAAGAGAAAATATGGTAAATAATCATTTTCCAATACATTTTATGGTAAATTTATGAGAATACTAAGGGTAAATTTATATTACAGGGTTCTCAAAAATTGAAAAATAAACCCTATTAGTCCATTAAATAGTGTGGGAGTCTAAGAAATAAATAAGACTTGTATAAAAAAAGTTTTGTTCAAAAACATAATAGTCTTGCATTGTCTTTTATTTATTTATTTATTTATTTATTTATTTATTTATTTATTTATTTATTTTTGAAACAGAGTCTCACTCTGTCACCCAGGCTGGTTGCAGTGGCGCGATCTTGGCTCACTGCAACCTCTGCCTCCCGGGTTCAAGCGATTCTCCTACTTCAGCCTCCCAAGTAGCTTGGATTATAGTCGCCCACAACCACACCCGGCTAATTTTTGTGTTTTTAGTAGAGACGGGCTTTCACCATGTTGGCCAGGCTGGACTCGAACTCCTGGCCTCAAGCAGTCCACCTGTCTCGGCGTCCCAAAGTGCTGGGATTATAGGCATGAGCCACTGAGCCCAGCCTGCATTGTCTTTATTTACAATTAGTCAAAATAATTTGTTCCTTTTATTTCTTCTGATAACTGAGATTTTTGAAACCCTGTTTCTTTCTCTGGTATATGGGGATTTATATATATAATATGTGGAGTTGTATATGTATGTATATGCATACACATGTACGCATATATATGATTTATCTGTAAACCCTTCTCTAGTCTCTGTAAAGTGTATAAATGTGTAAATTGCTGTGTGTTGTAAACAGTGGTGCAGCTCCTATAAGAGGGAGACTGGGAAAGAGGCATTTTGTGATAAAGTGGGTGATATTTGTAGTTGATTGATAAATAAACCTGGATATGGCATATAAACACCTGATGGAAGAAGAACCTAAAGGATGTTTGTTTGATAACAAAGGAAAGACTTCTTTCTTAGTGCAGAAAAATATTTGTTTGGATCTTATGTGGGCTAAGAACAATGTACTGCAATCAAAGAACTATTCTCCCCTCTCTGGCTGAGTTGCTGGAACTAGAGAAAATGGGTTACTTAATGAAGCGTCATTCTTAGCACACAGATAATTTGGAAGCCTATTTGGGCACATAATGATAATTTTCTTTGACCAGTCAGTTGCCTGTTTTTTGAAACTTCATAGAACTCCGTTATACATTATAAACTCATTGAAGAAATGGACTGTGATTTACTCACCTTTGTATGTTTAAAGCTCTTGGTGGCCATTCAATCCATGCTTATTGATGTAAATTGAATTGAGAGAAGTAGCCCTGCTCTTTCTCTAGAGGGAACAACAGTGGGACTAGAAGAAGTTGCCTATAAGCAGTTTTAAGAAAAGCTGTTTAAAATCCAAAGCAAGTTGAAGCTGTAAGAGGAAAAAAAAACAAACAAAACAACAAAACAAAACACACACACACACACACACACACCCCAAACTCCAAACACTGGGTATTACGTTCAACTAATTCCATGAAAGCCACTCAAACTAGGGATAAAATAAACAGTAATTATGAACCAATAACAATAAAAACTTAATGAGATATTTATTTAACTAGATGTTTGGATTATCTTCTGCTCTTTTTTGAATTAAGCATTGGAATTTAACCTAGATAAGTAGTGGCTAATGCATGCTAATATTTAGGTATGTTAATTAAAATGTATTTTTTTAAAAAGTGATCAATCAGGAAAATTGTTGTACTTCTGTTAAGCAAGCTTGGGGAAAGCCAAACCCAGGCACTGCCATTTACCTTACTTGCTTACTCTTATTAAAGTTGAGGCGCTCATGGTGAAATGGTGGCATGAATGATATCCTTACTAGTCCAAACCAGTAAAAGTAAAAACATGGCGTCTATCATAATCCTGTTAAGGTAACATTGCTTTCTAGACTCTGCTGTAATTTGTTGATTTACTCAGTGTCTTCCCTTCTTGAGTGTGAGCTCTGTAAATACTGTACCTTGCGATCTTTTATCTCAATATCCCCAAAGTGTAAGAGCACCTGGCATGTCACAGTCAAATATTAAATGTTTATTGAAGCAATGAGTGAATAAAATGCACTTTCTTGTAGAATACTCTTCTGATCACTCTAAAAGTGACTCTCTCTTGCCTCCATCAGCTCTTCTTTTTATTATATTCTATTTAATACCAATTTAATATACCAGTTAGAATGGCACATTTTTCTTTTCCCTATAGATATTGAACTTCTTTATGGGCGAGATTTTCTTTTTCTAGTCTTAGCATTTCTGGTATCCAACATCCAGTGTGGCACATGACTTTTGCTGCTTAAATAGGTGAAAGGACCAATAAATGAATGGATGTGAGTATGTCAGTCTGCTAATCTGTGCCTATCTTTGTCCAAATTTCTGGAAGGTATCAAAAGTTTATGTTAACTCACTGAAGAAGGCTGGGCGTTTTGGCTCACATCTGTAATCCCAGGGCTTTGGGAGGCCAAGGTGGAAGGATCACTTGAGGCCAGGAGTTCGAGACCAGCCTGGCCAACATGGTGAAACCTGGTCGCTACTAAAAATACAAAAAAGTTAGCTGGGCATGGTGACATGTGCCTATAATCCCAGCTACTTGGGAGGCTGAGATGGGAGGATTACTGGAACCTGGGAGGCAGAGGTTGCAGTGAGCTGAGATTGCACCACTGCACTCCAGCCTGGGTGACAGAGCAAGACTCCATTTCAAAAACAAAACAAACAGCAACAACAAAATCACTGAAGAGATAAGGCATATCAGAGCAAAACAAAGAAAGATTAAGCGGAACATGCAAATATTAGATACAGATTCCTAAGCATTTGGAAATGGACAGAATATGGAGATCATTGTAAGCTGAATTTGTCAAAGTAGTAAGGCTTACATAGGTCTTGAAGAAAGCATTATAGTTTAGATTATGGAAGGATTAAGGAGGCTATTTTATGAAGCTGGAAAGGTGTGAAAAAAGCATGGACATTGGGGATATCCAGAGTTATGGTTTCCTGTGTAATAACTAGTGAGATTACTGGTCACATTGGACTATCAAGTTTTGGAAAGACTGGAAGATAATGTTGGATCTGGCAAAGAAAGTTGACAGATAACTTTAAATGTCAAGATCAAAGTTAAGACTTAGTACAATAGACACCATTACCACACATAACATAGCTAAGTTGTAGTGTAGATAAAACAACCCCAAGTCTCTGAAAGTATACGTATGTGTGTGTATATATATATATGTATGTGTATATGTATGTGTGTGTATATATATGTATGTATGTGTATGTATTTCCTGTTAATCCTAGGTAGCTTCAAAGTTTTATTCTATTCCATAGTTACTCTGGTCCCACTCTAAAGGAAGCTCTCTGTGAATCGCTAATTGCTGAAGCAGGAAAATTGAAATATGGTGAATTGTGCCCTGTCTCTTGACTTTTCTGCCTGGAAGAACACAGACCACTTCAATTTGCATTTTTTAAGCAGAAGAACAATTTCAAATTGATGTACATCATAAAAAAACTTAACCCTTTGTTACATTTTACAAATGTGTATTTCCCAACTTTTTGTTTTCTGGCTCAGTTTTTGTAGGTATTATAGGATGTATACCAATTATACAAAATATGCCAATTTCCTTTAAGAGCTTCACAATCTGCTCCACATGATGCAAATAAGTCTACGAAAGAGAGTTAGGAAACACATAAGGCATTATACAAGTATGTGATAGAAAAACAAAAGACAAGTGTTACTGGTTTAGGAACAAAAGCAATAAAAACAATCAACACGGATTGAAATGCTGCAGGGAAAATTCTTCATTCTCTCCTCATTTGGTCTCACTTTGAATGCCAGGCAGTACAATGACTTCTACATACCTGAAATAATTAAAAAAATGCTCTGCCACTTCTTACAAATAATCCCTAAGAGGAAAGACAGAATATTTTACAGTCTATACAGATCATTTAATAGAAATGCAAACTTGATAGATATGTGATATTTTAAAATATTACACATTGGAATATTTCTTCAGTGAAAAATTTATAGTGCAATGTTCATAAAATATAATTTATACAAAGTATTCTGCTGAATGGCAAACAAATATTTTATGAAAATTCAGAAAATGCAAGCTAAACTTTCTCCTCTCAGATTGAACACAAAATTCCTCAACATCTATAATAAAAAGGTTCTCTTCAGTTTATTGTACATGATTGAAAAAGTAAACATAAGGTATAATTTTCACTCACTTAAGAACAATTGCTGAGATATCGTGAAATCAACATCTTAGAAATTATTTTAAATAGATAACATGTGCAGGAACTTTACAGGCAAATTCTCCAAATCCTTTATGGTAAATGCCTAAGATTCTTTTATACTGCAGACTACAAGGGCAATGAATGGGTTGGTACCAATCTTATAAACTGAGTAAATATGATTGTTAAACCCAAGAATAGTTTGCTTTATTTAAAATAGACTTCAGTTGTACTTGATTTTTCAAACAAAAACCTTTATTGCCTATATGAAGTTAGTATCTCTTTGTTTTTTGTTCTTTAACTAGAAGTGTCTAGTGTCATGGTTCTGGGTTTGGCTGGTGAAAGACACAGAGACCCTGTGGCATGGTGTAGTCAGTGAGGCAGAAGCACTACCTGTCACAAAATATTCAGGCCATTATTATCACCGTGAATGATTGAGGTGTCAACTCTGTAAGCCAGACAGGGTAGAAACACTACCTGCAAAGATTTCCACATGCATTTGTTTTAAGTCAAATAAGGGCCTAGGGATAGTTTAATAGAAAATCTGAGGAGGCAGAAGTGCAAAAGAGATATAAGCTGTAGGGTAGGTGACTCTCCTCCTTGTGAGTGGCATTTTTCCTTCCTTATGTTGAGCCCTTATTCTCTTGACCTAAGCCTACAAGCAGCATTTGTGGTGATAGAAGTTGTAGCAATACTAACGCCAAGTGTGTGAACATGTCAAGCTGTCAAACTTAATGCACTGCAGTACTTGCTTAGTACTTGGCAAATGCCTAGAGAGTGCCTGCAGCTGCTTTTATCTTTCAAGAGACTGATCCAAAACATATTTTAATGAAAGTCTACATTATTAGTCTAAATCTTCAGGAAGTTTCCTGTTTATATTTCTATTTAGCTCCACATTCTCTAGCTTTTGAAAATGATTAACCTGCTAATGCCTGGTTAAAACATGGCTGCATTTTTTTTTTTTTTTTTTTGAGATGGAGTCTCGCTCTGTTGCCCAGGCTGGAGTGCAGTGGCACGATCTCGGCTCACTGCAAGCTCCACCTCCTGGGTTCACACCATTCTCCTGCCTCAGCCTCCCTAGTAGCTGGAACTACAGGCGCCTGCCTCCACACCCGGCTAATTTTTTTTTTTTTGTATTTTTGGTAGATACGGGGTTTCACCACGTTAGCCAGGATGGCCTCGATTTGCTGACCTCGTGGTCCGCCTGCCTCAACCTCCCAAAGTGCTGGGATTACAGGCATGAGGCACCGCGCCCGGCCCATTTTTTATAATTGTGTTAAAAAAAAACTTAACATGAAATCTAACGTCTTGACAAATTTTTAAGTGCACAGTACAATACTGTTCACTATAAGCACAGTGTTGTAAGGCAGATCTGCAGGACTCAATCGTTTTGCTTAACTGGAACATTTAATCTGTTGAATGACACCTCCTCATTTCACCCTTTTCCTATCCCCTGGCAACCATCATTCAACTTTCTGCCTCTATAGATTTGACTATTTTAGATACATGTACCTCATATGAAAGTGGCAACATGCATTATTTGTTCTTCTGTGACTGGCTTATTTCACTTAGCGTTATGTCGTCAAAGTTTGTTTGTGCTGAAAGAATTTTGAGGCAGAATGTGCTTTCTTTTTTTTTAAGGCTGAGGAACATTCCATTTCATGTAAATACCACAATTTTAAAATCTATTCATTTGCCTATGGACATTTAGGTTGTTGCCACTTCTTCGCTGTTGTAAATAATGATGCAATGAGTATGAGGGTGCAGATGTCTCTTTGAGATCCTGATTTCAGTTCTTTTGGATAAATACCTGGGATCAGGATTGCTGAATCACATGGAATTTCAGTTTTTAATTTTTGAGGAAATTCCATACTGCATGCTGTTTTCCATGGTGGTTGTACCATTTTAAATTTCTACCAACTATGTACTAGGGTTCCGATTTCTCCAATTTCTTGTCACTGCTTGTTATCTTTTGTTTTCCTTGTTTAAATGACAGATATCCTAACAGGTGTGAGGTGATATCTCACTGTGGTTTTGATTTGCATTTCCCTGATGACTGGAAATGTTGAGTATCTTTTCACCAACCTGCTGGTTATGTGTATATCTTCTTTGGAGAACTGTCTGCTCAATGCTTTTGCTCATGTTAAAATCAGGTTTTTTCCCCTTTTTATGCTATTGAGTTGGGGAAGTTACTGATATATTTTTACTATACTATTATTATATATTTAGTTTATACATACTAACGATAAATGATCCAAAAAGGAAATTTAAAACATAGTCTCATTTAGAATAGTATCAAAAAGAATAACATACTTAGGAATAAACTTTACCATGGGAACAAAAGAGCTGTACACTGAAAACTACAAAACATTGCTGAAAGAAGTGAAAGAAGAACCAAATAAATGAAAAAATTTCTGTGTTCATGGATTAGAAGACTTAATATTGTTGAAATGTCTATACTACTCAAAGCAATCTATAGATTCAATGCAATCCCTATCAAAATCCCAGTGGCATTTTGTTACAGAAATAGAAAAAATATCCTAAGATTTATATAAAACCAGAAATTTAGGTAGAACCACAAACATGTTTTTTGAATATCCAAAACAATCCTGAGAAAGAACAAAGCTAGAGACATCACACATCTGATTTCAAAATATATTACAAAGCTACAATATGGTGCTGGCATAAAGACAGACATATAGACCAATAAAACAGCATAAAGTCCAGAAATAAACCCATACATCTATGGTCTACTGATCTTTCACAAGGGTGTCAAGAACAAACAAAGGAACAGAAAACCAAATACTGCATGTTCTCACTTATAAATGGGAACATAGAGTGCATATGGAGATAAAGAAGGGAAGAGTACACACCAGAACCTAATTGAGGGTGGAGGGTGGGAGGAGGGTGAGGATCAAAAAACTACCTGTGAGGTACTATGCTTATTACCTAGGTCACAAAATAATCTGTACATAAAACCACTGTGACATACAATTTGCCTATATAACAAACCTGCACATGTATGCCTGAACCTAAAATAGAAGTTAATAAAATAAGGAAAAAAGAATACACAATGGGGGCCAGGCATGGCAGCTTATACCTGTAATCCCAGCATTTTGGGAGGAGGAGGAAGTATCATTTGAGGCCAGGAGTTCAAGACCAGCCTGGGCAATATAGCAAGACCCATGCTCTATTAAAAAAAAAAAAATAGACAATGGGGAATGTATAGTCTCTTCAACAAATGCTACTGGGTAAACTGGATATCCACATGCAAAACAATGAAATTAAACCCTTATCTTTTTTTTTTTTTTTTGGGAGTTGGAGTCTCACTCTTGCACCCAGGCTGGAGTGCAGTGGCAGTGGATCCCGGCTCATTGCAACTTCTGCCTCCTGGGTTCAAGTGATTCTCCTGCCTCAGCCTCCTGAGTGGCAGGGATTACAAGTGTGTGCCACCATACCCAGCTAATTTTTTATTTTCAGTAGAGACTGGGCTTCACCATGTTAGCCAGGCTGACCTCAAACTCCCTACCTTAGGCAATCCACCCACCTTGGCCTCCCAAAGTGCTGAGATTACAGGCGTGAGATACTGCGCCCAGCCTGGACCCTTATACCGTATGCAAAAATTAACTCAAAATGGGTTAAAGACTTAAATGGAAAACCTGAAACTGTAAAACTGCTAGAAAAAAACGTACAGAAACAGCTTCACGACATTGGTCTTGGTAATGCATAAATATTTTTAAATATACCAAAAGCACAGACAACAAAATGAAAAATAAACAAGTGGAACTACGTCAACAAAAACCTTCTGTATAGCATACAACAAAGTGAACAGGCATCCTAAAGAATGAGAGAAATATTTGGAAACCATGTATCTGATAGGGAGTTAGTATTAAAAAAGCATTTGGGTTTTAAATATGACCTCAATCACAAGTCAACACAGTTAGTTTGCTAGGCATCTTCTTCATTAAGTAGTGTCGGTGGCTCTGTTTCATCTCTTTGCATCTGTGCACATTCTATAGCATGTTACATCAATCCCTTCTCATAAACTTCTGTGAGGTGCATGTATATTGGAGCTTTACCTTAATATATAATATACAAAAAAATACATATGGCCTGTAATCCCAGCACTTTGGGAGGCTGGGGTGGGTGCATCACTTGAGCCCAGGAGTTTGAGACCACCCTAGCCAGTATGGTAAAATCCTGTATCTATTAAGAATACAAAAATTAGCTGGGCATGGTGGTGCACACCTGTAATCCCAGCTACTCTGGAGGTTGAGGCATGAGAATCACTAGAACCTGGGAGGTGGAGGTTGCGGTGAGCTGATATGCCACTGCATTCCAGCCTGGGCAACAGAGCGAGATTCCATCTCAAAAAAAAAAAAAAAAAAAAAAAAAACAGAAAAGAAAAAATATATGAACTCTTATGAGCTGTAGATACACATAGCAATGTGAGATAAATTGTGATATTGCTTCACAGTCTTTAAATGGATCTGTTTGTAAGCAAGCAAAAAATTTATTTGAAGAGAGGGACTAGAGTTAACAGGGAATTTAATTTGGTGCCTCTTCAGAGTGTACACCCCCATTCCAGTTCATTTTCAAATAATCAACCTGAGAACAACATTTTTAAAACACTTGATAACTTGTATCTCACATTCTACCATGTGACAATTCAATGACAACATCACTCCCTTTTCTCTATTCCCTCTTACCACGGCTGCGATACTGTGTCTTAGACATCTGCTTTTTGGCTGCTTCATTCCCCAGGAGGCTACATTTTGCATTTTTCAATCTTGGAAGCAGTTCTGTTCCTTTGAAGTGTTTCTTCATTGTTCCTTAGGACCTAGACAAAACTAATACTTCCCATTCACTTTGCTAATTTTCCATCTTTAATTTATATACTTTATTAAGTATATTTTAAATAGAGACGAGATTAAAAAATATTTACAACTATTCTGTAGGTTGCCTGTTCAGTCTGATGATAGTTTCTTTTGCTGTGCAGAAGCTCTCTAGTTTAATTAGATCCCATTTGTCTATTTTGGTTTTTGTTGTCATTGCTTTTGGTGTTTTAGTCATGAAGTCTTTGCCCATGCCTAGGTCCTGAATGGTATTGCCTAGGTTTTCTTCTAGGGTTTTTATGGTTATAGGTCTTACGTTTAAGTCTTTAATCCATCTTGAGTTAATTTTTGCATAAGGTGTGAGGAAGGGATTCAGTTTCAGCTTTCTGCATACGGCTAGCCAGTTTTCCCAACACCATTTATTAAATAGGGAATCCTTTCCCCATTGCTTGTTTTTGTCAGGTTTGTCAAAGATCAGATGGTTGTAGATGTGTGGCGTTATTTCTGAGGCCTCTGTTCTGTTCCCTTGGTCTATATATCTGTTTTGATATCAGTACCATGCTGTTTTTGTTACTGTAGCCTTGTAGTATAGTTTGAAGTCAGGTACTGTGATGGTTCCAGCTTTGTTCTTTTGCTTAGGATTATCTTGGCTATGTGGGCTCTTTTTTGGTTCCATATGAAATTTAAAGTATTTTTTGCTAATTCTGTGAAGAAAGTCAATGGAGAAACTAAGATTTGAAGTGGATACAATTATATTTCTTAAAAACTCTGGCCAGGCGTTGTGGCTCACACCTGTAATCCCAGCACTTTGGGAGGCCAAGGCGGGTGGATCACGTGAGATCAGGAGTTCAAAACTAGCCTGGCCAACATGGTGAAATCCTGTCTCTACTAAAAATACAAAAAATTACCCGGGTATAGTGGCGGACACCTGTAATCCCAGCTACTTGCGAGGCTGAGGCAGGAGAATTGCTTGAACCTGGGAGACTGAGGTTGCAGTGAGCTGAGATCACGCCACTGCACTCCTTCCTGGGGGACAGAGTGAGACTCCGTCTCAAAAAAAAAAAAAAAAAAACCTAAGAGAATCATCTGGGTAATTACTTTTTATAAAGGTAATTCAGTAATGCTTCTAACAACAAAATTAATTTTTAAATTCTTAAGTTCTCTTCCTAGATATAAATAACTACATGGACAATGTAAAAGAAATACAAACGCCATTTGTAATAGAATCCAAACTAGATTAGATTGGAAGTTGGGTTTATTATTTATTGATTTGCTTAATTTATCTTCATGGAAATATATATTCTGAAGCTACTCTTGTTGATCCTGATATGCTTTTTTGTTATTGTTGTCTTTTATGTTTTAATTTTTTGACTTTAAGTTTTTTTATCTTTGTGCATTTACATTTACCTTTTTAGTTTCGTGTCAAATTATAAAAAATTTGCTGAAATTTTTTTAAACTTTTAGGTTCAGGGATACATGTGCAGGTTTGTTGTATAGTTAAACTCATGTTGTACAGATTATTTTGTCAGCCAGGTACTAAGCCTGGTACCCAATAGTTAATTTTTCTGCTCCTCTCTGTCTTCCCACCCTCCATTCTCAAGTAAGCCCCAGTGTCTGTTGTTCCCTTCCTTGTGTTTATGAGTTCTCATCATTTAGCTCCCACTTATAAGTAGGAACATATAGCATTTGGTTTTCTGTTCGTGCATTAGTTTGCTAATGATAATGGCCTCCAGTTCCATCCATGTTCCCAAAACAGACATAATCTCATTCTTTTCTTACGGCTGCATAGTATTACATGATGCATATGTATCACATTTTCTTTATCCAGTCTTTCATTGATGGGCATTTATGTTGATTCCATGTCTTTGCTATTGT
Source organism: Homo sapiens (assembly GCF_000001405.40). NCBI lineage: Eukaryota > Metazoa > Chordata > Mammalia > Primates > Hominidae > Homo > Homo sapiens. The sequence continues at coordinate 76,366,574 of NC_000016.10, forward strand.
GACTAGTGCTGCAGTAAACATTTGCGTGCATGTGTCTTTGTGGTAGAATGATTTCTACTATTCTGGGTATGTACTCAGTAGTGGGATTGCTGGGTCAAATGGTTCTTAGCTCTTTGAGGAATTGCCATACTGCTTTCCACAATGGTTGAACTAATTTAGACTCCCACCAACAGTGTATAAGTAATCCAAAAAATGAAAAGATATCAAGGAAAAAAATGTAATAGAATATGTACAAGAAACAAAAAAAGAACTATTTAGAATATTACTAAAGGACATAGAAGAACACTTGATTAAATGCAAGGATGTATCTGCTTTTGAGTAAAAGATAATATTATAAAGCTATTCATTCTCCCTAAAATCATCCATATAAATGAGATCATTCTGAATGTCATATAGAAAAATGTATATGAGAAATAACTAAGTTAATTAGCAAAAACAATAATGGTAAGGAGAATTTACATGTTACAAAAAATTTATTAATATATATTAATTAAAACTTATTGATACTGGCACATTAAAATATGGTATAAGAACACATGGGACATCTGTTACTATGTCCAAATACATTTAGGGATTTGCATAAAATAGATACAGCATTGAAAAGCTTAATACATATTTAAGGAAATATGTATTAGTCAATATGGAAATCATAGCCTTCTAGAAAAGTAGATAACTTGTTTATATCAAAATAGATTTAATATAAATATTTAAAAGTAATACAGATGCAGAAAAAAGTATTAAAAGAAAATATAGGACAATGTAAAGATACACATGTAATATTGGACGGGGCCTGTCTTTCTAGGCAAAGGGAACCAAACCCAAATGCCATAAAGGAAAAGATGAAAAATTAGATAATATATGGAAGGCTGCATAAAAATATAACATATATAACATAAAAGAAAGGGTATACATTGGGAAATATTTTTAGCCTATATGATAGCAATGCCCACATTTATTCAGCAGCAGCAGTGGTCTTTGGTTAAGACTGACATTCTGACTGACTGAATAGGCTTCATTCAGCTACATATTTACTTAGATTTAAAAATAATAAAGGGCAGGCAACCACACAGCATGCACAGCAACAGCATAATAGATGTTCAGCTATCATGAACAACTTTTAAATATCCCAATAACTGTCACTGGCTTGGTGGGTGTTATTGAACAACTTTTAAATATCTGAATAACTGTCACTGGCTTAGTGGGTGTCGCCACCACACATCAGGAAAGCCATCAGCTCCAGGGGTCCTTCAGCTCTTACATTACATTAGTGATGTAACTTCTCAGGGATACTTGCCAACTGTTCTCCAATGTAGCTGGTATCTTATCAGTCCTAGGCTATTCACTGATTTCCAGGTTATGTCTGTGATAGCTAAATTTCACTGTGCATTCTAATTCTGGTACCTAGGGAGACTGTCTAGAGGTGGGAGCCCAGATTTTTAAATTAGAATTTTAAAAATATTCCCAAGTGATTTCAATTAGCTGCAAAGTATGAGAAACATTGGGTTGCTCAGTAATCTTGACAACCAGGTACAGGTTTTTAGTTCAGTACAAAACATACCAGCAGGATATCCATTCATCTTAGATTCTCCTGCACATTCTTTGAGTTAATGTTGCAAGAAGGATTTGGCTAAAGATAAAGAGTAGGAAAAAAGCTACAGCTTAGAGATTAACTCTATATTCCCAATAATAATGACACAATTTTCTTAATATCCAAATCTCTGCTTTTACATGTGGTAGCTACTAGCCACACAGGGTCACTGAAAAGGATTATAAGTTATTCTACTATAAAGATACATGCACACGTATGTTTATTGCAGCACTATTCACAATAGCAAAGACTTGGAACCAACCCAAATGCCCATCAATCATAGACTGGATAAAGAAAATGTGGCACATATACACTGTGGAATACTATGCAGCCCTAAAAAATGAGTTCATGTCCTTTGCAGGGACATGGATGAAGCTGGAAACCATCATTCTCAGCAAACCAACACAGGAACAGAAAACCAAATACAGCATGTTCTCACTCATAAGTGGGAGTTGAACAATGAGAACATATGGGCACAGGGAGGGGAACATCACACACCGGGGCCTGTTGTGGGGTAAGGGGCAAGGGGAGGGATAGCATTAGGAGAAATACCTAATGTAGATGATGGGTTGATGGGTGCAGCAAACCACCATGGCACATGTATACCTATGTAACAAACCTGCACATCCTGCACGTGTATCCCAGAACTTAAGTATAATAAAAAAATAAAATTACATTAATTAAATTAAAAATAAAGCTCCTCAGTTTACACTCGCCCCATTTGAAGAGCTCAATGGCTGCGTTAGACCAGTGGTTACTGGATTAGACAGAACAGTTATGGAACACTTCCATCATCACAAAAATTCTCAACATAGTATAAGTATGAAACTTTCTAAAAAACAGTAAAAAATAAAGCCTTAGTTTTTTTTGTTTTTTCGTTTTTTGGTTAAAAAAAAAAGAGCCATTATATAAACAGGCAGTTCATAGAAAGGAAAAAATGATATATAAATATATAAAAGTATCTTCAACCTCATTCAAAATAGAAATAACACATCCTAAAAGATTGGAATGAAAACATTTGAAACTGCAATATTTTAGACATTATTTTCCAATGTGTGCAATATAACAAAATAATACGTTCTTTCATTTTAAGTTATTCATTTCATATAATTTTTCTTTAAAATTTTTAAGCTACTGCATCACACCCATGGTATTATGGTTACTGCTGTTTAATACAAGATAGACAGGGTTTTCCAGAGAAATGGAACCAAGTATATACATGAAATGGGAACTGGTTTATGCAATTATGGAGACCAAGAAGTTCTACCATCTGCTGTCTTTTAGCAGGATAACCAGGAAAGCTGGTGGTCTAATTTAGTCTAAGTCTGAAGACCCAAGGACCAGAAGCTCAGATGTCCAAAGGCAGAAGAACATGAATGCTTCAGCTCAAGAAGAGAGAGCCAGGCACAGTAGCTCATGCCTGTAATCCCTGCCCTTTGGGAAGCCAAGGTGGGAGGATTACTTGAGCCCAGAAGTTCAAGAGCAACCTGAGCAACATAGTGAAACTCCATCTCTACAGAAAACACAAAAATTAACCAGGTGGGGTGGTGCATGCCTGTAGTCCCAGCTACTCAGGAGGCTGAGGCAGGAGGATCGCTTCAGCCTGGGAAGCAGATGTTGCAGTGAGCTGAGATTGTGCCACTGTACTCCAGTCTGGGCAACAGAGTGAGACCCTGTTTCAAAGAGAGGGAGGGAGGGAGAGAGAGAGAGAGAGGATTTGCCCTTTCTCCTCCGTTTTGTTCTATTTTAGCCTTCAATGGATTGGATTATATCTGCCTACAATGGTGAGGGCAGGTCTCTTTACTCAGTCTACCAATTCAAATGCAATCTCTTCTGGAAACACCCTCACAGACATACTCAGAAATAATATTTTGCCAGCTGTCTGGGTACACCTTTACCTAGTCATGTGGAAATATCAAATGAACCCTCACATAAACAATAGCTATCTCCTACTTGTTATACGATAATATCTGGTAACATTTACTGATAGAATAAAGCGTACCTTGGTTGTCAATACAAAGCATCACAACAGATTATTGTTCAATATTTTAGTAGTTTAAATCCATATATATAGCTGTGTGGGTTTCATATGTGCAGCATGTCATCTAATCTGAGTGTATTCTGACAGAAAAAAAAAAATCCTTAGTTCTGGTTCTAAATTGTCCTCTGCGCCAGTGCCCCATCAGAGAAACAAGTTACCTCAGAATGCTAGAACTTCTGCAAGGACTGCCCTATAGAATTATGGAAGCAGTGGGTATCTTTTGGGGGCTGGAGCCTTGTAAAAGGCTCAGCCACTACCAAGTAGCAGCCTGAGGCAGAGCAAAAGTGGGAAGAAATACCCTGGTTCCTCCCTTCCTTTCACTTGCAGATCTTTTTCAAGTTCCCAGCTGGAAGCTCCTTAATACAGGAGCCTGGGACACAGTCCACGTCACTCAGCCCTCTAATGTTTTGGGTCAGAGCAGGGAAAGGGTGACACGTGGTTCTAAGTGAAACAGAACGATGAGGACAGCCTGAAGAAGGTATGTTACTAACGACAAATTGCCTCTATGAGCTGCTTTTTCTTTGCTTATAGAAGAGGATGCAGGCAGAATCCAAGTACTTACTGAGTGATTCCTCATTCCCTTTCAGTTTTGAAATTGCATGCTTCCCTTTCAACCCATAAAGAAAATAGATCAATATTTTGATACTGAGGAAATTGAGATTTAAGATAAGTTTCCCCCTAAATTTATGTTAACTAGTGCCACATGTATAAAATGTTACATTTAGCGCTCTTCTGTCCTGGTAATATTTATGAGTAGGCAAAGCTAGCCAAGAACAGTCTTTCAATGTCCTGAAAGAAGGGAATCCATGAAAAATGCTGAACCATTGGTTTAGGGTCATTTTTGCCACATAATCGACACTGAGTAAGTAGAGTGGTGCTCTCCTTAATCAATTATCGATTCAATTCTTTATTTCTCAAAATATGTGTTAGAGTTCAAAACATAGATTTGCTTTCTATGTGGGAAAAAATAGCAAACATCTTACAGATGATCAAACATCAAACATCTTACACATGAGCTCCAGAGTTCACTGAGGAGGACCAGGGTATATATGTACCTTAATACACATCTGTTTTCGTTTTTTGTTTTGTTTTGTTTTGTTTTGAAATGGATCTTCTTCTGTCGCCTGGGCTGGAGTGCAGTGGCACGATCTTGGTTGACTGCAACCTCCACCTCCCGGATTCAAGCGACTCTCCTGCCTCAGCCTCCTGAGTAGCTGGGATTACAGGTGCGTGCCTCCCGCCTGGCTAATTTTTGTAATTTTAGTAGAAACAGGGTTTCACCATGTTATCCAGTCTGGTCTCGAACTCCTGACCTGAGGTGATCTGCCCACGTCAGCCTCCCAAAATGCTGGGATTACAGGCATGAGCCACCACACCTGGCCTGTTGTCACTTCTGGGACAAGGTTACAACACACACTTGGTATGCAAAGGAAAGCACATTACTAAGTTTTATTGAAATGTTTTGCTTAGCTGGAAGATCTTATGGCTCTGTCCAGTCCTAACCTTGGCATATTTCACTGATGGTTTCCTTGTGCAACACAGCTCCAAGCTCAGGTGTTTAATTGTTGCTCTTAAGACATTCTCCAAAGTTTCTTGTACTTTCCTATTTCTCTTCTGGGTGATACTCTTCAGTTATCTAAGGCATGTCTGCCAAACAAGCTTTAGTTCATCCCTTTCAATCAGGGCTTTCCAAACACAATCAAGTCACTTACCTCTCAGGTCCACTTTTGCCCCTCACTTTTCCAATATTCACTTAATCATCTCTAAGTTCTTACTTCCAATGACATCTGTGATAGTGTTATTTCCAGGGAGTCTCTGCATTGCTTTGCAGGGTTTGTATAACTTTAATCAACCGAATTTCCAATTCACCCATCTATTTTTGTTCTATTTCATTCTACTTATATGTTGGCTGATAATGGTTGTGTTCCAGCCCAAATTTTTTTTTTTTTTTTTTTGAGACGGAGTCCCACTCTGTTGCCCAGGCTTGAATGCAGTGGCGCAATCTCGGTTCACTGCAAGCTCCGCCTCCCAGGTCCATGCCATTCTCCTGCCTCAGCCTCCCGAGTACCTGGGACTACAGGCGCCCGCCACCAGGCCCAGCTAATTTTTTTTTTTTTTTGTATTTTTAGTAGAGACAGAGTTTCACTGTGTTAGCCAGGATGGTCTCGATTTCCTGACCTCGTGATCTGCCCGCCTCGGCCTCCCAAAGTACTGGGATTACAGGCGTGGGCCACCGTGCCCTGCTGGTCCCACCAAAATCTTATCTTGAGTTGTAGCTCGCATGATTTCCACGTGTTGTGGGAGGGACCCAATGTGAGATAATTGAATCACGTGGGCAGTTTCCCCCATACTGTTCTCCTGGTAGTGAGTAAGTCTCATGAGATCTGATGGTTTTGTAAAGGGTTTCCCCTTTCGCTTGGCTCTCATTCTGTCTTTTCTGCCACCATGTAAGACATGCCTTCTGCCATGATTGTGAGGCCTCCCCAGCCACATGGAACTAAGTCCATTAAACCTCTTTTTCTTTATAAATTACCCAGTCTTGGATATGTCTTTATCAACAGCATGAAAATGGACTAATACATTGGCCTGGTTTCGAATTATACCTTTGACATAAATAATTACTCAAGTGCTACTGGCTAAAATGCATACTATGTATATTATCTTTATTGAAAAGTGTACCTATTTCTTAAGGCTATGAATTCCCAGAAGATAGAAACTCCATGCTTTGTTGCTAATGTGGTTTCGAAGAGATATTGATAATATTATTTGAGTATAAAGAAACACTTTTCATGATTACTTCGAATCTGAAATACAATAATCTGATGTGTCTGCTGGTTTACAGCACAGGGGTCACTGTACAAACTGAGACTATGAGGGTGTACATCTGATATTCCACATAAATATGTGAATATATTCCATATAAATAGGTGAATATATTCCACATAAATAGGTGAATATATTCCACATAAATAGGTGAATATATTCCACATAAATAGGTGAATATATTCCACATAAATAGGTGAATATATTCCACATAAATAGGTGAATATATTCCACATATATATGTGAAATATATTCCACATAAATATGTGAAATATATTCCACATAAATATGTGGAGTATATTTCACAAAAATATGTAAAAGAAACATTCTTAGTCATAAAAACCAGGACTTGAACTACATAGCTTTATCTATCCATATTCCCAATTGCCTTTATAAGTCATACCTCTAAATTGGCCTTGTCTAAGATTTTTTCTTTTTATTATTATCTGCACTAAATTTACTCCTTTCAGAAATGTTCACAAAAAATACTTTGGGTGACTTAGAAGAGCCATGGTTTTAGGAAAAGATTCAAATGTTAGGACATTTGTCCAGAAGTAGCTATGAGTATGAAAGGAGGAAACTGGACAGGCGCAGTGGCTCATCTCATGCCTGTAATCTCAGCACTTTGGGAGGCCGAGGCAGGTGGATCACCTGAGCTCAGGAGTTCAAGACCAGTCTGGCCAACATGGTGAAACCCTATCTCTACTAAAAATACAAAAATTAGCCAGGCATGGTGGCAGGCGCCTGTAATCCCAGCTACTTGGGAGGCTGAGGTGGGGGAGTCACTTGAACTCGGGAGGTGGAGGTTGCAATGAGCCAAGATCACGCCATTGCACTCCAGCCTGGGTGACAAGAGTGAAACTCCATCTCACAAAAAAAAAAAAAAAAAGAAAAGGAAAGGAAACAGGAAGCCAAAATACTAAGACATAGCCTACAGAATTGTGTCTATAAATCAGAGAGATAAGAGATACAGTCCAAAATGAATCACTTGTTTTGTGTCTAACAAATAAAATTTGTAATTGGCTTTTGAATACCATTCTTTCATTTTGGGTTGCTTCATGTTAATTTCTCATACTGAAACGTTGTCTCCCTTTTGAAGCCATGAGCATTTTAAGTACCTAATAATAGGATTCTTTTTCAGTAAGTGAGAGAGGAGAGAAAAATTGCTGGAGCAGTGAAAAGACATCCTCAGGGGGCAATCACTTTATTACATTATGTTCAGAATAATCATGAATTTGGGTCGGGCTAGAGAATATCAGTTTCAGAGAAAAGAATCTTCTATTTATTTTAGCGAGTTTGTGGAAAGTTGCAGAAAATTATCCCAAGAGCTACAAAGCGATTATGTTACTAATTCCATCTTTGTACTCTACCCTGAAATAATGTAAAAAAATTAATATATCACTTTGAAAATCAATTTCTGATCCTTAAATCAGAATAAATACATGAATTAATTAAACTCACAGGGAACTGTGCTCACCTTAAAACTCTTTATGTGAACAATGATAGGTAAATAATGAAATTTATCTGGATTGGAAATAAATTGGTCTGTCCAGCCTTCTTGTTCTCATAAAATCAAATTCTTTGTATTTATGTACACACAAACATTGAATTTCCGTGTACATTACTCTCACTTTCTTAGTTTGCATTTTTCAAAATTTTTAGTCTGTGAACATTTAATCCATCTAAGTTGAATAAAGTATATACTTGACTATGACACTATTATTATTATTATTATTATTATTATTATTATTATTATTATTTGAGAGAAGTCTCGCTCTTGTCCCCCAGGCTTGAGTGCAATGGCTCAATCTCGGCTCACAGCAACCTCTGCCTCCTGGGTTCAAATGATTCTCCTGCCTCTGCCTCTCAAGTAGCTGGGATTAAGGTGCCTGCCACTATGCCTGGCTAATTTTTGTCTTTTTTAGTAGAGATGGGGTTTCACCATGTTGGCCAGGCTGGTCTCGAACTCCTGACCTCAGGTGATCTGCCCGCCTTGGCCTCCCAAAATGCTGGGATTACAGGCGTCAGCCATCACGCCCGGCCAGCAGAACTTTTTTTAAGAGAAATTTTCACCAAGAAGAAAGTACTATTTGTGTGATTTAAAGGCACGTATTTACTAGGTGCAGTGGCTCATGCCTGTAATCCCAGCACTTTTGGAGGTTGAGGCGGGTGGATAACTTGACGTCAGAAGTTCGAGACCAGCCTGGTTAACATGGTAAAACCCTGTCTCCACTAAAATTACAAAAATCAGCCAGGCGTGGTGGCATGTGCCTGCAGTCCCAGCTACTGGGGAGGCTGAGGCAAGAGAATCACTTGAACCTGGGAGGGGGAGGTTGCAGTAAGCTGAGATCACGACACTGCACTCCAGCCTAGGTGACAGAGCAAGGCTGTCTCAGAAAAAGGCATAAATTTATGAAATATATTTATTCTATCTCGTCCTACTTTGAATATTGCATAGGGCTTTGCACTGGGGTCTTTTGTCATGTAGGAAAGCTGTGCGACTTTTCACGTTCTAGCACACAGTAGAACAAGGTTGGCTCTTACCTTTGCTCCAGGAAAAGTCCTTGTGAATCATTCTCTTCTCTCCTCCATTGAAGTCCCCACCCCCAGGCTCCTGCATCAGAAGTGTAGTAAATGTGAGTAGATCTAATAATCTGGGGCTAGGGTAGCAAACATCATGAACACATTGTCTCATTTTCTGCAGGGAAGTTTACATTGGCTATATGGAAATAGTGAGCCTCCTTCTGTTGTGTGAGCCAAGAGTGACTTGAATAGTCGGATTGTCAGTTCAAGGTCAGTGCTGGAGCCACAGCACTAAAAAGAAAGATGAGATGGAAGGCGATGAATAGCAGTTAAGGATGTCATCTCTGTTATCAGATTGCATGCATTCAGATGCAGGCTCCATCTCATGCAAGCTGTGTGACCTTGGGCAGTTGCTTTTACCTCCTCTGTAAAATAAGCGTAGCAATACTATACACATGAAAGAGTTTGTGTGAAAGTTAAATACAAAAGGAGACAAGAAGGAGCAGGAGAAAGAGGAGGAGGTGGAGGAGGAGAGAGTTAGGGGGAGGGAGAGAAAGAGTGAGGAAGAGATAAAGGGGAAGGGAAAAAAGAGGGAAATAAAGAAAAGCAAGCAAGGAAGAAAACCTTTATGCAATTAAATGCAAAAAAAATACAACTCATGCAAAATTAACATAGATCTGAGGTTATCAGCAATTCAGCTAAAAGGTGAGAGTAGATGTCTCACTGAGTGCAGCGGTTTTCGGAAAGGAAATTTGATGTGGAGTGGAAAAGAGAAAACAGCAAATACTACCCCAAGAGAAAGGGAAAGGACTGCCTAACATAAAGGCCATTCGAGAGCGTATGTGATGGAGTGAGAGGATTCAAATCACAGTTGGCTTGGAAGAGACATGTCTTCTTATTATAAAGGAAGAAAAAAAGTAAAGACAGGTTTAGACTTCAGTCTATATAAAGGACCTTTCATATGCAAAGAGATCGTATATTTACTGAGAGCAAAGAGGGAGGTGTGAGAATGGTACCTCCTTGGAAAAGTATCCCCACACAGTCGGAGAGCCCAGCGTTGGCCAAAGGGCATGAACAGGTCACCTGTGCAGACTGTGATATGGCCTTCTGCAGCTGTGTGCAACTGTGCATACACAGGAACTGAGGGCATAGACATTTAGGACCCAGGGTTGGAATCCACAGGGATACTGTGATGGTAGGACACTAGGACAAGGACATATAGGGGCTGGCAAGAGCATGGAGGAAGAGAAGTACCATGGAGTCAGAACCATGTAGAAAAGGAAGTGAAGTCAGGGAGGGTGAGGTTGATAGGAGATTGTATTAGTTAGGATTCTCCAGAGAAACAAAACTAACAAGGTTTGTGTGTGTGTGTGTGTGTGTGTGTGTGTGTGTGTGTGTGTGTGTGTACACATATACATACATGTATGGAGGTTGGGAGAGATGGGAGATTTATTTTAAGGAGTTGGCTCGTGCAATCGACAGGCTTGGCAAGTCCAAAATCTGCAGGGTAGGCTGGCAGGCTTAGGACTCAGGGCAGAGTTGCAGTTTAAGTCCAAAGGCAGTGTGCTGGCAGAATTCCCTCTTATTCCAGGGAAGTCAGTCTTTTTTTTCATATATTGAGACCTTCAACTGATTAGATGAGGCCCACCCATACTATGAAGATAATTTGCTTTACTTAGTGTCTATGGATTTAAATATTAATCTCATTTAAAAATACCTTTAAAGAAACATCTAGAATAATGTTTGGCCAAATGTGTGGGTATGGTAGCCTAGTCAAGGTGATGCATAACTTTAACCATCACAAAGATGGAAAGTGTCTAAGGAAGCATGGAGTTACTGAGGCTGAAAAGCAAATAAAAATGGAATGATGGAAGAGAGTCGGAAAGATTCAGTGGTCTATGGTGGAAGAATAGAATATACACGTTTATAATTTCAAAGATGGTGCAATGCTAGGAAATGATTAAGAAGAAGGTGTGGGCAGGGAAGTGTTGAAGAGGAGTCTGTGAAAGTCATTTAGGGTGTTTTATGGGTCAACCACAAGGCTTTTGAAGCAGAGAGTTGCAAGGGGTGTGAAGAAATGACCTGTGGTTTGCCAGAGGACCTCAGTCTGGAGGGGCAAAGTTTGCTATCACCAGCTGACACTCATAAAAAAGGAGAATAAATGTGTTTTCTCTCCCTCATTTTTTTCTTTTGGCACCTCATTTTTACAAGGAAGAAATAAAAATTCTCTGTAATTGACAGAAGAACTATAAAAATGCTTACTGACTCCATGGAAATATAGCATGTGGGAAAAGTTAGCACACTGCACCTTAGGTCCCAGAATGTTCATTTGGATTTCAGGTGGGATGAATTCACCATGCTAGTGGCATTATGCAAAGCTTTGTCTGTGCATTGTCCCACATTTCATTTTTCTAGAAGAATAAATTAAAGTTTTCAGGAGTTACACACCTCTCACAACTACCAACCAGTACCTGCTGGAGTCTGGATTAGAAACCCAGGCTGCTCGAATCCAGAGATCACTCTCAATTCTCATTTTATAACAATATTAAGAGAGTTTCTTTTGTTTATTGGAGATTCTAAAAAGAGGGAGGATGGGAGAGGGTGAGGGATGAAAAATTACCTATGGGATACAATGTACACTATTCAGGTGATGGGGACACTAAAAGCCCAGAACTCATTATTGCACAATATATCCATGTAACAATTTTCAGTTATACTCCCTAAATCTATCAAATTAAAAAATAAAAAAATATAATGAGGACCCTGGATGGCAGAAAAAAGATCGTTGGAAGAAAGAGAAGACAGCAGTGGAAAACCAGGCCTCCACATGTTCTTTGTAGTAGCCTTTGTAGTAGCTAATACGGAAGTCAGATGGAGTTGAAGAAGGTGACAGATATCTGTGATTGTCAAGGGAAGTATACTGTTTCTGGCATAGGTGTATAAGACCAGGATTTGTATGTGCTGGTAAACTCCAGGTCTGTCCATATCACAGGTCATGACATGGAAGTTCTGGGTTTAGAAATGGACAGACAAGGGGACCTTTCTGAGTAGACCTTGGTGTAAGTCTTGGGGTATCCCTGGCCTCACTGTTGTGAATGGTCTGTGTCCAGTGTATTCTTGCAGTCTCAGCCCTGACCACACTCCAGCTTTCTAGGTGCATCTCACATACTTTCCTTAAGATTCCATATAGAACACAGCTTTTGAGGGATGTTGTGCTCCTGCAAAGTCTGTCCTCCATGTCAGTGAGGGAGAAAACCCGGCCCAGCTGTTCTCACCTAGGGTCGGCCAAGAGGAGGCCTGTGCATCAAGTTCAGGTTTGCGGAACAGGAGGAACCTGAGCCATCTTTGTGTGGTGAAGAAACTTTATGTATCAGAGAGAGGGCTTCAGTTCTATGGCCACTTCTACAACTCACTTGATTTGTGACTTTGACTCAAAGTTTGTGACTTCAGACTCAAAATGTGATTGAGACTCAGTTTCCTCATCTGTAAACTTAGGGCCTCTGGGTTCATGTGACCTTTAGGGTTACCCCGGACTCAAAGATCCATGCTCATGGGATGCCTTTTGCTCTGCACCATTCCTTGGGTGTCATAGGGTCTAACTGAATCCGAGTCCTACTTTCTGGTACTTAAAAATGACTCCAATTCACAGTGCTACATGGGAAATGGGAGGAAAGAATGCGAGAGAATCATGGTTGTTGGCTGTGGCTATAGAAGCATGTCAGGGAAGTTCATCCTGAAAGAGAATGAGATTCACAGAAACTCTTATATCTTACCCCACCTCCCTACAATCTGGAGGTTAGGTAGTTTTCCTCTACTAATTCTCATTCTATTTATAATTTTTCATTTCATTACAATTGTAATTTGTCAAATATATTTTCTCGTTTAAACTTTGTTTGGGGTTTAGAGTTGATGTTAGTTTTATGTTCTTTTTCCTCCTTTAACTGAGTCAATTCCAAAATGTACTACTCTTTCTCTAACTGATTTTGTCTTAATATTATCATTCTACTTTGTACATTGCAGCCGGAGGTCACGTCCTAATTAATCAAATGCCATTTTATCATTAATCTGAGAAGCACCAATTAATCAAGTTTTTCCTCCCATTGAAACTGGTGATTAACCAAGCTGTGACACTATCTTTTGAGTGACTTTCTATATTCTGCTTCTGATTTAGTAGTTAGGTGTACACATCAGTTTCAATCACTACTGACTGATCTTAGCTGGTTCTGACCAGGACAATGGTCCTTATCTTTTCTTCAAATTGATTCATGGATCCGTAATATTCTTGCTTCCTGTTCTGTTCCTGGGTTAATGATATGTGAAGGATTTCTCTACTCTTAAGTTCAGATTTTCAAAGATATGCTTAACTTCTAGATAATGGTGTGGATCTTCATGACCTCAGGGTGTGAAGTCCTTGACTACGAGTATTTTTGTCTATCTACTTTAATGACATTTGCATAAATCTTGATGTAGGATGTCAGAATTATGTGGTGAATGTTGTGAATATTTTTTGAGAAATTAATTTTTTCAGATAAAACGCAAGTCTGTTGTAGTATTTCAAGATATTAGAGTTCAATTATGCTGGAAAATGTGTTCATAAAGGCCCTATGCATTTAGAATTAGTGGCATACACTAAAGTTATTTCATTTTGAATAAGATATAATAACTAGAGGCTTTGTAGTAGCTAATATGGAAATCAGGTGAAGTTGAAGAAGGTGACAGACATCTGTGATTGTCAAGGGAAGTATACTGTTTCTGGTATAGGCGTATAGGACCAGGATTTGTATGTGCTGGTAAACTCCAGGTCTCTCCGTATCACATAATCAGTCTCTCAGTCTCATTGATAAAAATAAATTGGGGATTAAGTTCCCAATGCTTTCCTTCAGATTCCAAGATTACTTTGAAATCAGTATTGCTATACTTTAAAGGGAAATTATTAGAGCATTTTTGTATTCTCTATTTTTTTTCTGCATTTTTCCCCATTTTAAAAATGCTTGTGATTACTTGAATAGATTCAAGCGAAGTGTAACAATAAGATGACTAAGACATGGTTTGAAACTAAATGTGATCGGGGGAGTGGTTTTCTTTTTCTTGAAAACATTCACCAATTTTTTTATTTGTAAGTAGCGATACTACC